>NC_000001.11:246790182-246941697 GCF_000001405.40 Homo sapiens
GGGGCTTTCCAAATGGGGAGCGGCCAATCCCCATCTGCCTGTCCTGTCTGAAAGGCTGTGGCCACCAGGGAGGGGAGAGGGCTGCTGGGAAGCTGGCAGGGGCCCCAGGGTTGGCAGATTGGGGAGGAAGAGGCAGCGATGTTTGCAAGATGCTGTTCAACCCCTCTCAGTGACAGGCTCTTAGAAAAATCTAAAATGGCACAAAATGTTAGAGCTGGAAGGGACCTTGGAGAACACCTAGTTCAGCCCTCCTTGTTTTCCAGGTGAGGTCAGAGGAGTGAAGTGACTTGCCCAAGACCACACAGTGAGTCAGGAGCAGGCCTGTCCCTCCAGCAGTGGTGCCATGTTGTCCCCAAGCCATGGTGGCAGAGGAGCTGGTGTGAACGCCCCATCCTGCCACGTCTGTGATGTGGGCACCTCACATGACTGTCCCCTCCCAGCTCTTGGGGGGGACCTAGGACATTCTGTGAGCCTGCAGGAAAGTTTACCAAATGCTGCAGCTTTGTCCTGGTGGTGATGGGCACCCCGTTAACGGCAACCTTGCATTTGCTATGTGGAGTGACCGTCACTTTACCGTCGGCATTTGTGAAGGAAGCGTGTTTATCTGAAATTCTAAGAAGATGAGAGTCAAAGACACCCAGCAAACGGCGGTTTCCGTGAGCAGGTAGGCTGACCTTTCTCATGTGCACAGGAGGGAAGGTCTACAGCTGCGGAGGATGGCAGGTGGCATCTCGGGGCCTCCTGTGTGCTGTGGCCCATGATGCATGGGGACAGCAGCGGGCGCAGAAGGACCCTGCCCTTGGGGAGCACGGGGAGCTGGGAGACAGCAGGCAAGGGCTTCATTAACAGAACGAACACCAGCTGAGGGCCTAGCACTGCGGGGAGCCGGCCAAGGCCACACTGGAGTCCTCCCGCTCCCAGGCCAGCGGGATGGGGTGGTGGGAAGATGGCAGCAAGCAAGCTTCAGAAGAGACGCTCAGGAGGCGACTCTTAACGAGCCTCACCTACTCCGGGTACGTTTTGATCTGTTTCTGCGCCCTCGCCGTATAAATTCAGACCTTATAGGATTTGGGGCTGGACGTCGGGGTGTCAGGTTGGCATCCCCTCTCCCCGCCCTGCTCCCCTGCACCGATGTCATCTGTGTGTCCTGAATGACTGGCTCCCTGCCTTAGCATGTTCCATGTTCCTGCACTCCTTGGCCATCATGGAATGTTCTGGATGTGGAGACCCGTGTGCATCCAAACCCTTTTTTGCATGGGGCCCAGGGATCCTGTGGGAAAGGTTGCGGCCTCATCACTGGAGTTCAGACATTTACGCACCTGTGCGTTGGACTAAGGACGTGTTCTGGAAAGGGACTTGAGGGGGATCCCCAGGAAGATGTCCCAAGAAGGAGGCTGGCAGTGCAGGACGAGGCGGGGCCAGCCGGCCCCTGGGTCAGCACCCCTCCAGCCACGACGGCCCGTGGGCTTTCGTACGGGGGCAGGGGGTGATCTGTCTGAAGGATGTAGGTGATGGTGCTTCCCAGCTGGAGAGCTGGAAGCAGGAGGAGGACACTCCAGCAGCAGCCTCCCAGGCAGGGCAGCCACAGAGCTGGGGACAGCTCTTGACTGGGTGAGGCCCGGCATGGGGTTTCCCAGGGCTCCTGCGGGGCCTCCTGAGGGAGCCCTTGGGGTCACTCCACAGTCTGGGCTTTCTGTAGTCCGGTGGGTCAGGGCTCCAAGCACCAGGAGAGATCCAGGGATGCGCTTATGTTTGGGCCACCCCCGGTGGGCTTGTTCGTTCAGCCCCCTTCGTTTCCTGGCCTGCTCTACTTATATCTGTTTGTGAAGAATTATTACACAGAATCTAGAAACCAGCTTTCCCTTTTCTCCCAGGGTTGGAGCCCAGGAAGCAAACCAGCACTGCACCCTAGATTTCAGCCAGAGGACGAAAGCCCTGCCCTCAGCTTTCTCAGACCAGCCCTGGAGTAGGTGGCCCGGGGAGACCTGGGCAGTGTCCCTGCTTGTCCTGCAGACTGTGTGGCTCTGCAGACCTCTAGATGGAGGAGGCACAATTCTCTAATGCTGGACGAGGACACTGATCATGGAAACTCACCCCAAACCTTGAATCGTGATAGCATTTGAGGCAGCCTGACCGGTGCCACATGAACCTGAAAGGAATCAAGATATAATTTATTTTGAAAATAAATCAGACACTTTCAGAATTTGAGCGTAAGAAGTTAACATGTCTGATGCGTTGGAAGTGACGTTTTCTCTACAGTGGGATGGTACTGAAGGGATTTTTCCAGTTGGGATTTTCAATCATAATGGTACTTAGACATACTTTTCTTTCTGCCTTGTGTGTGGGGGGAAGAGCGGGGATGTTCCTAACTTTTAAAAAGTTCCACCTTCTTCATGAGCATTCTGGAGGAAGACACCATTAGGTCTGGGCCTTAGGAGACCCACTGAATACTGGCCACAGCAGAGGTTCTGGTGTTTGAAGCTCCGTTTCTGTGTAGTGACTGACCCCAAGGAGTGCAGACATGTCACCCCCCACATCCCCACATCCCACGGCCATCTCGCACGGAGCCCTCGCGGCCGCCCTGGGGGGTGCACGGAGCCCTCGCGGCGGCCCTGGGGGGTGCACGGAGCCCTTGCGGCCGTCCTTGGGGTGCTCGGAGCCCTCGCGGCCGTCCTGGGGGTGCACGGAGCCCTCGCGGCCGTCCTGGGGGTGCACAGCCGGGGAGGGGAAGCCAGGGGCTCCTGCGGTTCTGGGCGCTGTGTTCCAACCTGTTCAGCACTCATTTAGGTCAGGAAGACAATTCAACAGCTGATGCCCTCCTCAGAAACCGCTAAACAAAAATGTAACAAGAACGATGCCAGGATAATAGATGAATAAAACGTGCTGTATACATCCGAGGGAATGGTTTTCAGCCTTCAAGAGGAAGGAAATTCTCACACATGCTACATGGATGCACCTTGAGGACATTCTGCTGAGGGCATAAGCCAGTGAGAGATGGATGAAAAGGTCCTTATCTGAGGTCCCCCATCGTCAAATCCACAGAGACAGAAGGTGGGACACTGGCTTCCAGGGCTGGAGGGGGAGGGGTTATCTGAGGTCCCCCCATTGTCAAACGCACAGAGACAGAAGGTGGGACAGTGGCTGCTGGACTGGAGGGGGAGGGGTTATCTGAGGTCCCCCCATCCTCAAACACACAGAGACAGAAGGTGGGACACTGGCTCCCAGGGCTGGATGGGGAGGGGTTATCTGAGGTCCCCCCATCGTCAAACGCACAGAGACAGAAGGTGGGACACTGGCTCCCAGGGCTGGAGGGGGAGGGGTTAGCTGAGGTCCCCCATCCTCAAACACACAGAGACAGAAGGTGGGACAGTGGCTGCTGGTCTGGATGGGGAGGGGTTATCTGAGGTCCCCCCATCGTCAAACGCACAGAGACAGAAGGTAGGACACTGGCTCCCAGGGCTGGAGGGGGAGGGGTTATCTGAGGTCCCCCCACTGTCAAACACACAGAGACAGAAGGTGGGACAGTGGCTCCCAGGGCTGGAGGGGGAGGGGCAGCTCCCGTTTCATGGGTACAGAGTTTCCGTCTGGGAAGATGAAAATGTACTGCAGATGGATGGTGGTGATGGTCACACAATATGAATGTACTTTATGCCACTGAGCTGTACTCTTAAAATGGTTCAAATGAACTTTATGTATATTTTACCAAAATGAAAAATATTTAAAAAACAAGAAAGAAAAGAAACATGCCTGTGGGGCAAGAAGCATGGGAAGGGCGGGGACGGGGGGAGGGTAGGGGAGGGCGGGGTGGGGAGAAGGCAGGGCAGGGGCAGGGGGAGCACAGGGGGAGGGCAGGGTGGGGAGAAGGCAGGGCGGGGGCAGGGAAAGGAAGGGGGAGGGGAAGGACACGGAAAGGGAAGGGGGAGGGGAAGGGCAGGGAGGGGAGAGCAGGGGCAGGGGGAGGGCAGGGTTGGGGCAGGGGAAGGCAGGAGGGTGGGGTGGGGAGAGGGCAGGGCGGGGGCAGGGGGCCGGCTGAGTACCAGCTTGAATGAAGTACTTGAGCACCCTGGTGAGCTGAGGGTCCTCGCTGAGGTTAAGAAGGTGAGGGAAGGTCATCATCTGCCGCTCCTGCAGGAGAAGTGGAGAGGGTTGGGTGTCACCAGTCCGCACCAGCCCACTGGGGAGAGCAACACTTCTTTCCCGTCTCTGTGCACCTTGTCAACCCTCCTGGGGAGGGAGGAAAGCTGAGAGGGGCTGGGGCATTGCTGATGGTGGGGTGGAGTCTCAGGCAGGCCAGCCGTCAGGAGTCTGAGTACATCTGGACTGGACAGTTCCAAGGAGCTGTCTCCCGGCTGCCCTCCCCAGCTGTCTGCATGCCCCGCTCTGGTCCCCTGCCTGGGCAGCCCCTCCCCATGTCTCCATGCAGCCTCTCATTCTCCCGAAGTGCTGCTGGCTGGCTGAGAATCAGATGTTGATGGCAAAAAGTGGGGTA
This sequence comes from Homo sapiens, assembly GCF_000001405.40. Taxonomy (NCBI): domain Eukaryota; kingdom Metazoa; phylum Chordata; class Mammalia; order Primates; family Hominidae; genus Homo; species Homo sapiens. The sequence goes on from NC_000001.11 coordinate 246,794,672, forward strand.
TGGCACGAACCCTCGCCTGGCAACCTGAACATGTCATTCGTCCACACAAGGATTGTTGTGGCGTAGGGATTTGACAGTAAACAGAACGGGGATGATTATGCAGCCACGAGGAAGACTTTTACAGCTTGAAATCCTCTCTGACAAAGAGTAAAGAGGGCAAAAACCCTTCCAATTTTTACTGTATATGCAGAACCCAAAATCCCGTATTCCTCCATGTGACCTTACTTGACCCTTGAAGCTGAGAGTCCCAGCCACCACTTACACAGAACGTGACTCAGTACAGCCCTAACTGTCTGGTTTCCTGATGCCACAGACCCCACCCTGCTCCACCCCCCAGGCCCTGAGGCCGTAGTTAGGCAGTATGAGGTTCCGGAATCCCCAGCTCCAGTCCCCTAGTACTCCAGGTCTGATCCTCAACTTTGGGATTTTCCCAGGGCCTCGTGGCCACGGGGAGTGGGGTGGGGTGGAAGCCGGGGTGGCCAGGGGAGGCCGAAATTCAATCACAGCCCATTTAGGGTGTGATATCATCAGCGAATGCCAGGATAGACACCCGGCCTTACGCCCTGCCAGGCCCCGAGTCCTCCCCGTTTCCCTCGCTGGCATGCCCTGATGTTCTCTCCCTAGCTCTGCCAGTAGCATCATTACCAGTCACACATTACACATTCACCAAAAAAGCCTCGCCACAGTCGGGCCTGGCCAGCCAGACTGCAGCCTGTGCCTGGCCCCCTGCCCTGGGCTCAGCCTCCGCAGGTGGCGGAGGTGAAGCTCACCTGGGCCCTCTCCAGCAGGTGTGCCCAGGTCACCTGATCAGGAGTCCCCAGCTGCTGCTCTGCCTGGAGACAGGCCGACGGCTCTGGAAGGAGGGAGGCATTTTAAGCGGCGGGTCTGCGGTGCCAGGGGGAGTCACGGGATAGCTAGTGTGTCTCTGGCTCTGTTCTCAAAGCCCAGGATCCCGGCAGCAGCAGGAATGCAGCACACTTATGCGTGAAGACGAGATCTTTCGGTAAGTCCTACAAAGAGGACTTTTAATTCCCCTCCTAATTCGTAAGACGTTAGTGCAAGAAGGTCCTTTAAGGGGGAGGCATGAGTTCAGTGTTCTGTCTCTTATTTTTGTACTTGCTCAGGCTTGTGAGGGCGTTTCATGTGATTCCTTGCTACAGGGAATTGCCATGGGGTCGGGGGATTCGGGAAGAATCATAGGCTTACACTGTTTTCCACATAGTCCGTGTCTGTGCTTGAGAGCAGTGGGGGTTAGGTGCTACGCGTAGGTCCACATCTGGCATGTCCAGTTTTTGATGGTACGGAGATTTGTGACAGGCAGAGCCAGGCCCAGGCCAGTCACACACACGTGTGCACCGATTCTGATTTAGGGAGCGCTTTGTTGAGGCTGAAGCCTCAGCGAGTCGGGTCGTGTGCCTGGGAATGGGCCAGGTGGGGCTCGGGGCTGGCCCACCCTCTGTCTGAGCCTTTGGGTAGCCTGGCATGATGGGTAGGGCATGGGGCGCAGGAGGTTCTGCCACTACTCGAGGGTCCCCAGGAGGGAGGGAGACCGTTCGATATTGCTGCTTTGATACCGGACGTTCATGCCAATTTCACCTCAGTAGTTTTATTTTACCTTTTTTTCATCTCATTTTAAATCATTAATGAGCATAAAACGATATATATCTTTATGCTGCCAAACTGCAATTGAAGGTCTGTACCTATCACAGGGGTTCTCGATAATTGCGCACGTTGGAACCACCTGGGGCCCTTTAGCGCTGACGGCTGCCCGGGATTCTGGTTTCTGAGGTTGGGCGGAGCCCTGTCACCAGGTGGCTGGGATGCACAGCCAGGGTGGAGCTCTGTCTTGCTGGAGGTGGCCAACCCTCCATGGGCTTCCAGCGTCATCTCTCCGCAGGAAGCCCTCAGCGGGCAGACATCAGGTGGCCACTGTCCAAATCTGGTAAGGAAAAACATCCTGGGAGAAAGAATGTTCTCAAAATAAAAATGAGGCTTGTCGCGGTGGCTCACGCCTGTAACCCCAGCACTTCTCGAAGCCGAGGCAGGAGGATTACTTGAGCCCAGGAGATTTGAGGCTGTCGTAAGTGGTGATCACACCTCTGCACTCGAGCCCGGGTGACAGAGCAGACCCTGTCTCAAATACTAAATAAATAAAATGTCAATAAAAATGAGAGTAAGGGCCGGGCACGGTGGCTCAGGCCTGTAATCCCAGCACTTTGGGAGGCCGAGGCGGGTGGATCACGAGGTCAGGAGATGGAGACCATCCTGGCTAACACGGTGAAACCCTGTCTCTACTAAAAATACAAAAAATTAGCCAGGCGTGGTGGTGGGCGCCTGTAATCCCAGCTACTCGGGAGGCTGAGGCAGGAGAATGGCGTGAACCTGGGAGGTGGAGGTTGCAGTGAGCCGAGACTGTGCCACTACACTCCACCCTGGGTGACAGAGCAAGACTCTGTCTCAAAAAAAGAAAAAAAAAATGAGAGTAAGATAACCATCTTAAAATGCAGGGCTATTATTCCTCACAACTGCAAGTGAGTCTACGTTTATCTCAAAGTTTTTTTTTAAAAGGATGGAACCACAATATCCTGGACAAAGCCCCAGTGCTCCCCACTGTGCCCCAGCCACCCCTCAGATTCAAATCCAGGTGCTCCCTCCACCCCCGGCCCCAGGCTTCGGCCAGGTCAGACCCCCCCGTTGCTCAGGGCATCGGCCCCTGACTCGGTTTACCTGACATTATGGAGTTTCTGCATCAGGGCAGCAGCTTGCTGTTCTCCGCCCTTGACTTTCTCATCAGTGTCCAGGTGTTGGCCACTGCTCTGTTCCGGATCTTTTAAGCCCTTTCATGTGCAAAGATGGACACACTCTTAGGCTTGGAGCCCCTTGCTGGAGCAGCAGCACCCCCAGGGCACACTCAGGTCTCCCCCCGCCCCCCTCCCCGCCAGATGACTTGAGATTCCGCACCAGGTCTGGTTCCATTCAACCATTAAGACCAAAGTGACTTGAATCGCCTGCACAGTTCAAATAAACACGTGCAGCTCAGCCAGCCCGGACCTCAGCCCCTGACGTGTCCTGGGACCTGAACACAGTCAGCCAATTGGGCTGACTTGGTTAACCTAAGAACCTGCCCAATCCCTGTGGCTGCTGAAATTAACTCCTGGCCTGGAGGCTGTCCGGAGGCTCAGCTCTGCGCCTGCGCCAGGCTGGGAGGAGCCTCAGAGGTGTTCTAGGTCACTCCTTCCGATGTCGTCAGAGAAAACAGATGCCCCCAAATAGTGCATGGGATATACAGTAAAACATGCCTTGTTCTCTGAAATTTCAATGTAACCAAGCACCTTGTATTTTTATTTGCTAAATCTGGTAACTGTACCCCTTTCGTTTTACACAGGGGAGATGGAATCAGAGTTTACAAGTCCCACGGGCCGCGGGCACCATTTTCTCTTTCCTCTGTATCACATGGTCTCTTGTGTAAAAACTGGGAGCAACAGATTTGCATCTGATAAGCAGGGAGAAAACAAACGTTCTGGATACTGCTTAAGGCAAAATTCGATCTAAAGCTCTGAGCTTGGGCTGGGCATGGTGGCTCACACCTGTAATCCTGGTACTTTGGGAGGCCGAGGAGGGAGGATCACTTGAGTCTGGGAGGTTGAGGATGCCATGAGCCATGATTGTGCCACTGTACCCCAAGCTGGGTGACAGGGTGACACCCTATCTCAGAAAATAAACATAAAACCTGAGCTTGTGTCAGATGCTGGAAGAAAATGCCTCATGGTGTGCCACAATACCGAGGCTGTGCAGTGAGGAATGAGAAGGAAGACATTTGTCACCAACATGCAAGTGTTGCTGTGCTGAGAAGAGGGCCAGAGAAAAGACCAGAACGGGAGGCAGCTCCTGGGTGGCACAGTCATAACCACAGTTCCCAAGCCTCACTCACACACCAGGCAGAACTCTGCTAGGCACAGTTCACACATGACCTCCTGTGGTCCTCTCCCCAGCGCTGTGAATGAGGAATGCTGGCTCAGTGTAACAGGTGATAGGGGAGAGGTTCTATTTCTTGCCCGTGGTCACAGCTGCTAGGGCCAGACTCTGTCTGACCTCTAAGCCCATAGACCTGGTGAATGACATATCAGGGCTGGCAAGTAAGTTTCACCTCACATGCCAACTCCAGCTGCCCAGAACCAGGCCTGACAGTCCCAGTCTCCTGCCCGGACTCGGTGGGGAGCTGGGCTGGTGGATTCCCAAGGCCGGCCTTCGCCTAAGGAGGGGTAGGCAGCATGTGGGGACGGTCCTACCATGGCCACAGACTCTCCTCTCCCCACACCTCCCTTTCTTAGAAGGTTCAGGAGAGCAGACTTGGTACGAGCTGCAGAGGCCGAGGAGCAGGAACTCGGCTTGGTGACAGCCTCCCGTAGTGCTGACCAAGTGGACCTGTCTCCCAGCCAGGTGGGTGGGAAGGAACCTGGCAGTGACAGCCCCTCCCTCCCTGGTGACTCCTGCGGCCATCAGGCCACCTCCACAGACTGCAGTGTGCAGAGTGGACCCTGGGAAGTGCGGTAACTGACAGTGTGGAGAGCTGGTCTGTGCAGGGGCTGCAGGGCTGCCCAGCGAGTGGCTCTGACCGAGGCGCTGTCGCTTACAGAGCTCATCTTCATTTGTCATTAGCACAAAAATCCCCTTGTCTGGCACCACGCCCTGTGTGACAAAAGGAGAAAGCTGTGAATAGCCGTGCTATTCGGCAGGAAAATACAGGGACAGATCAAACCAATCACATCAGGACCAGCATCCGTGCCGCCCCCATCCCTGAGCCCCCAGTTCTGCTCCCATCCAGGACCCAGTGACACAGCCCTGCCCTGAGGCTCCGGGTCTCCATTCTTTCCCTCGTGTTTTAGTTCCTTTCATTCCTCTCTCTCAGGTCGTTTTGTTTTCCTCCTGGACCCCCTTCCCAATGGCAACCCCTGCAGTCTAAGAGCACTGACAGACTTTGCTAGATTTAGAACGTAGAACCACCATGGATGATAAATATTCACAGACGTACCTTTCCGCATATCTCAATGTTGATAGAGTTTCCTCATAGCAGATGTCAGCTGGACTTACGGCTGCGATCTGTGAAAACAGCCCTTTCAGACTTTGTTACTTATAGAGGAGTTTATTGTTATTAAAGCAGCTCGTATTCACAGGGCAGTTTGGCATCTTGTAATTTATGATATTGTTCCAAATTTACAGTTTAGAAATGGTGGCTTAGAGGAATGCCTGAGGCCACTTGCTGAGCTGGGGCTCGAACCCACCCCTGCCTAACTCATACCTGTGCTGCCAGCTGTGAGACTGACCGCCCTTGGGACTGAGTCCTCCGTGGACTCCCTCAGGGGCCTGAGTGACGGTTGAATGTTAGTCTCACAGAGACCTTGCTCGTTTTGTGACAGCCACTTGTATGGTTTCAAGCCTGGCTGTTGACTTTATTTATACTTACATTTTTTTGAGACAGGGTCTCACTCTGTCACCCTGGCTGGAGTGTGGTGGAGCAATCATGGCTCGCAGCCTTGACTTCCTGGGCTCAGGTGGTCCTCCTGCCTCAGCCTCCAGAGTAGCTGGGACTACAGGCATGCACCACCACACTCGGCTAATTTTTGTGTTTTTTGTAGAGACAGGGTCTCTCTGTGTTGCCCAGGCTGGCGTTGAACTCCTGGGCTCAAGGGATATGCCCACCTCAGTCTCCCAAATTGCTGGGATTACAGGTATGAGCCATTGTGCCTGGCCTTGACTTTGGATTGATTGTTCCAGAATTCAGAAAAGTTTTCAACTCAGAAGCAAACTTAGTGATGATTGGGTGGGCAGGTCACTGAGGATGGCTGGGGAGGGTGGCTGAGGGTGGCTGTGGCAGCTGCCATGTGGCAGCACATCCTCTGTGGGCTGGGAGGCCCGGGACCCAGAGCTCTGGGAGCCCAGGAAGTAATTATTTACATTTGTCTAACTTCACAGCTTTTAAAGCTTGTTCGGTTACGCCATCTCATTTAATCATCATGGCAATATTTTCAGGTGGATTTTTATCACCACTAAAAATTAAGGCTGTAAGACATTTGTGTTAAAACTGGGATTGGCGCCATAGAGACTGGAGAGCTTGGCTGTCGGCCTTGCAGGTTCTCTGTTCTCTTTGCTTCTTGAGATAATGGATGCCACCCTCTGCCTCTCCCCAGCCTGCTCCTTTGTTAAAGCTTGCGGGTTCCTGAGATGATGGATGCCACCCTCGGCCACTCCTGAGCACACTCCTTTGTTAAAGCTTGTGGGTTCCTGAGATGATGGATACCCACCCTCGGCCTCTCCCAAGCACGCTCCTTTGTGAAAGCACTGCACTGCCCTCAGGCAGCCCCTGTCAAGTCTTGCAGGTCTGGGCGTCTCGGTGGCTTGGCACACATCTGCTGAGACCCGCTAGGTTGAATGTTGTAGGTTAACGTTCAAAGAGCATCTTACAGGCCTTCTTGTGTCCCAGGTTTTTGGGGAGATGTCCTGTTGAGGCCCACAGGTAACTGACAACCAGAAAAACTTTAAAATGAAGTATTGAAACTGGTCAGGATTGAGTGATAAAGAGTAAGGTTGTGTTTTACTGTGGATTTTGGAGAGAAATGCATGTAACTGGTCCCGACAGGGAGCATTTCTCTCCTAAGCAGGACAGCAGAGTGGAGGCCAGCGCCAGGCTGGGGGCAGAGTTCACCCCATTTTGTCCCTCCCTGCAGCTGAAGCAGAAGAGCAGAGTCCTGATTTTAACACATTCCACACTGTACCCACTTGGCAAACATTCAATAATGGGATTCCAGAGCCTTTGCTGAGATAACGCGGTGCAGCTGCTCTCCAGGGTGAACACACAGTCACACTGATTTCCAGCCTTGCCGGGGATGACTGCTAACTTAGAATAACATGACATTGCTAGTTGTTTTTTTTTTTTTAATGGTACTAGTTTTTTTCCTGATAATAAAAGTAACATATATTCCTTGTAGAGAACTTAAACTACAGAAAAGAATAAATTTAAAAATTAGTAATACAGAAACATTGTTTGAACATTGTACTAGAGTACCAGAAGTTACAAGATAATGGTAGGTCATCATTTGTTAGTCCTGAGGGGGAAACCAAACAAGACCAGGTGCAGTGGCTCATGCCTGTAATCCCAGAACTTTGAGAGGCCGAGGCAGGTGGATCATCTGAGATCAGGAGTTCAAGCCTGGCCAACACAGTGAAAACCCATCTCTACTAAAAAGAAAAAAAAATAGCCAGGTGCATGCGTCTGTAGCCCCAGCTACTCGGGAGGCTGTGGCAGGAAAATCGCTTGAACCTGGGAGGCGGAGCTTGCAGTGAGCCGAGACTGCGCCACTGCACTCCAGCCTGGGCGACACAGCGAGACTCCGTCTAAAAAAAAAAAAAAAAAAAAAAAATTGCTAGGCTAGGTCAATGCAAAGTCCTGTGTTATATGACAGGTGTATTGGGAATAATTTAATCACAACAGCAACAACAACTATAATAGCAGAATCCGTGTGAAATGTTGTAAGAAAAGCTATTTTACCAAAGCGGTTCTGCTGTTCCCACCCAGAGCTGACTGGAGCAGTTTGGTCAGAACAGAATCTCTGTATGGAATGTGCAAGACCTTCTTCCCCATAGCTGCGTCAGCCAGAACACTGAAAGAAAAAGAAGATTCAAGACAGAAAAAGAATGCCTCAAGAAGAAATCCACCTCCCGTGGGATGAGTTGGAAATGGCTCCCACATCCCCTCTTTGGCCCCATAAGCCTGACGATCATATCCAACAGTAGAGATGCCTTCTGTCATCGATGCTGGAGTAAGCTAGCTAACCACGGGCCTGACTCCTCCGAAATCAACCGTAGAGAAGCCATAACCTAGAGGAGGAAGCCCAGGTCTGAGGAACAAACACACCCACACCTGCGAGGAAAACTCGAAGAGCCTGCAGGCTACCATAGTTTGTGTGTAGAGAATGAGCTGCAATTCAAGGAAGGAGGTGCCAGGCCTGACAGTGTGCAGATAGGTTTGGGGGGTAGTTTTAGGGTCTTTTCTTGCCTCTCTCTCTCATGCTGCCTTAAGATCCCATAAAGTTAGGACCACAGCCTCAGGATAGGGGTGAGTGAGAAGCCCCTGCCCTGCTCCAGGGGCCACAAAGAAAGCAGTGTTGGCACTGAAGAGAGCGGGGAAGAGTGCAGGGAAATCCCACCCGTGAGAAATTATAACCACAAACAGGACGGGCACGGTGGCTCAGCCTGTAATCCTGTAATCCCGGCACTTCAGGAGGCTGAGGTGGGCAGATCACTTGTGGTCAGGAGTTCAAGACCAGCCTGGCCAACATGATGAAACCCCGTCTCTACTAAAAATACAAAAAAATTAGCCGGGCGTGGTGGTGCGTACCTGTAGTCCCAGCTACTCGGGAGGCTGAGGCAGGAGAATCCTTTGAACCCAGGAGGCGGAGGTTGCAGTGAGCCAAGATTGTGCCATTGCATTCCAGCCTGGGTAGGGACTCCGTCACAAAAAAAAAAAAAAAAAAAAAAATCACTACTCCATAAAGTCATGAAGGCCAAGGGCTTCCAAAGAGGAGGAAAAGAAATAGGTTTACACTCGGATGCAACAACATAGTGAAACTGGAGAACACCAAAAACAAAGAGAAAAACTTAAAAGCAGCTGGGGAAAAAAGACAGATTATCTTCAAGAAAAAGCAGTTAGACAACCAGTTGACAATAGAATTCTTTCTGTGTGGAAAGAAACTACTACCCATCTAAAATTCCATACCCAGCAAAAATGTCTTTTTAAGAATGAGCCGGCTGGGCGCGGAGGCTCACATTTGCAATCCCAGCACTTTGGGAGACCAAGACGGGAGCATAGCTTGAGCTTAGGAGTTTGAGACCAGCCTGGGCACCGTGGAGAAACCCTGTCTCTACAAAAAAATACAAAAATCATCTGGATGTGGTGGAACACGCCTGTGGTCCCAGCTACTTGGGAGGCTGAGGTGAGAGGATTGCTTGAGCCTGGTGGGGTAGAGGCTGGAGTGAGCTGTGATTGTACCACTGCACTCCAGCTTGGGTGACAGAGTGAGACCCTGTCTCAAAAAAATAAATGAGGTAAAAATAAAGATATTTCAACCTAACAAAAACAGATTGCCACCAGCAGATTATCACTAAAGGAAACCCTGAATAATACACTTCAACCAGAAGGAAACTGATCTTGGATAGCAGCTCTGAGGTACAAGAATGAATACATTTAAAAAAAGATAAATGTGAATGAACACTGTGTAAAACAGTGATAATGTCTTTTGGGTGAAGGAAGAATGGAATTGAAATACATAAGAAAGAAATACATAACAATGACATATGTAGGATGAAGAGTCTTGTATTATCCAGGAGGATTTATTACATTTAGACTTTGACCACAGATTTAAGAGCCAAGAAACAGAGTTAAGTATATATTAGCCGGGCACAGTGGCTCACACCTGTAATCCCAGCACTTTGGCAGGCCGAGGAGGGAGAATCACTTGAGCCCAGGAGTTCGAGATCAACCTGGGCAACGTGGTGAAACCCCATCTCTACAAAAGCTACAAAAATTAGCTGGGCATGGTGGTGCACGCTGTAATCCCAGCTACTCAGAAGGCCGAGGCGGGAAGATCGGTTGAGCCTGGAAGGCAGAGGTTGTAGTGAATGGAGTTCGCGCCATTGCACTCCAGTCTGGGTGACAGAGCAAGACTCTGTCTCAAAAAAAAAAAAGCGAAAAGCATATAGACGATCACTGGGGGAAGGAGGGACTACTCAACAAATGAAACTGGAAAGATTGGTAATCTATAAGGAAAAAGGATGAAAAGGATGCCTACCTTACATCAAACACAGAAATCAACTCCGGACCGATAGGAACTTAATGTAATATAGGTGGTTACCTTTCTAACTCTAATTTTCTTAAACAGGAAACAAATGCAAAGCATAAACCATAATCATAACTTCTGCTCATCAGCAAACACCTTAAAGTGGAAAGACAAGCTACTAACTGGGAGAGATACTTACAATACTTTTACTTGAGAAAAGAATAATATGTAAAGAATGCCTACAAGCCAATACAAAGGCAATGACTCAAGAGAATAATAGAAAAAAATAACAGGCATTGCAAGAGGAAATATATTGCTAAGAAACACATAAAGATGCTTAAACTCGTTAGTAACCAGGAATATCAAGACCATAGTAAGATTTATTTGCACCAATTTAATTGGTAAATATAAAGAAATCTGATAACATCAAGTCTTAGAAAAGATGTAGATCAATCCGATATCTAATACATTGCTGCTGGGAATGTAAATTGGTCCAACTATTTTGGAAAAGTTTGTTAACATCTTTCCAAATTGGGTATTCATACACCTTCTAACCCAACAATTTTAGTTATTGTCTATACTCAAACTTCAATACAGTCATACATCCCATAACCATGTGTTGGTCAACGACAGGCTGTATACACAGCCGTGATGAAAATACCGTATTTTTACTGTATCTTTTCTATGTTTAGATATACAAGTACTTACTGTTATGTTACAGGTGCCTGTGGGATTCAGCACAGTTACATGCTACACTGTGGTATAAGCTCAGCCGGGAGCAATCTTTTACCACAAATAGCTTTGGTGCTCTGTAGGCAACGCCGTCTAGGTTTGCGTAAGTGCACTCTATGATGTTTACACAACAAAACCGCCTACTGATGCATTTCTGAGAACAAATTCCCATTGGCTTTTTGTTTGTTTTGTTTTGTTTTGAGCCAGGGCCTCACTGTGTCACCCAGCCTGGAGTGCAGTGGCATAATCACAGCTCACTGCAACCTCTGCCTCCTGGACTCAAGTGATCCTCCCACCTCAGCCTCCTGAGTAAACAGGACTACAGGCAGGCACTACCACATCTGGCTAATTTTTAAATTTTTTGTAGAGCCGGGGTTTCGCCACGTTACCCATGGTGGTCTCAACTTCCTTGGCTCAAGTAATCTGCCCACCTTGGCCTCCATATTGCCATTGTTTTTGTTGTTGTTGTTTGTTTGTTTTGTTGTGTTTTGTTTTTTTGAGACTGTGTTTCACTCTTGTCACCCAGGCTGGAGTGCAATGGCGTGATCTCGGCTCACTGCAACCTCCACCTACCGGGTTCAAGTGATTCTCCTGCGTCAGCCTCCCGAGTTGCTGGGATTATAGGCATGTACCACCACGCCTGGCTAATTTTGTATTTTTAGTAAAGACAGAGCTTCTCCAGGTTGGTCAGGCTGGTCTCGAACTCCCGACCTCAGGTGATCGACCTGCCTCAGCCTCCCGAAGTGCTGGGATTACAGGCGTGAGGCACCGCGCCCAGCCGATATCCCCATTGTTAAGCGGTGCATGACTGTGGTAATACCCAGTGATTTGCACAGGAATGTTCATAATAGCACTACTTATAATAGCAAAAAACAAAGTGGGGACAATCAAAATGCCAATCGAGAATGAATAAATTGTGGCACATTCCCACTATGGAATGCTATGCAACAATGAAAAACAATGATTGCTACATGCAACAACATGGAAGAATCTCATAGGCAATGTTCAGTGAAAGAATGGAAAACTCACTCTAGGTATAACATAGTGTGGATAGATATTGTTAATAGTGTTGAGTCTAAAAGCAAGTCCTCGCAGTTCTACTCCTGCCTACATACCCAAGAAAAATGAGTGACTATTTTCCCCAAAATACACATATAAAAACGTTCACAGCAACTTTAAAACAGCCCAAACCTGGAAATAAGCTAAATGCCCATCAGTTGGAGAATGGATAAATAAATTATGATATATTCATACGCTGATATATTGCATAACAATGAAAATAATAATTGGTACATGAAACAACTTTGATTAATATCATAGACACAATCCTTGGTGAAAGAAGCCAGAAGGTTAAGCCGTGACCTAATATAAATGATTGCATTTATACGAAAATCACTACAATTAGGCATATCTAATCTATAATGACAAAGGTCCATTTCTTCTGGTGGGAGTGTCAACTGGGAGGGAGTATGAAGAGCTGGGTGGGTTTTGGAAATGTGTTATATTCTGATCTGGATGATAATTATGGAGGTATATACATCTATACAAACTTATTGTGCTGAATGTGTAGGATTTATGTACTTTACTGTAGTTTATACCTTAATGAGAAAATTTTAAGAAGTTCCAGAAGACAAAATGGAATTTCCTTTTTATAAAGTTCAAAAATGAGAGCTACTAAACAATAATATTCACATGTGATAAAACCAGGAAGGAGGGAGCTGAGGGGGAGAGAACATAAAATTCAAGACGATGGTTACCTCCAAGGGGAGCATAGGAGAGGAACACCAGCTAGTTCTTGGGTTGGATGGCAGTTTTATTAGTGTTACTCTATTGAAAAATAAAGTAATTGGTTTAAAATAAATATAGGCAGCCCAGGCATGAGCCAGTGATGCCAGCGGATCATGAACCAAGGGTTATCATTAATCCAGTTTTTCATACCTGAGGTCGTTTTTATAACACAAATACCTGTCCACTGATTATTTACCTGATAACACTTCCCAAATTGGTTAAACTTAAGTTAACGCACGATCCTTCCCTCAGTCTGTCTCCTTCAGATCCTGAAGATTTCTGCCTCTCACTTCTTGCCAGGTCCACCAAATTAATACTGGATTGTTTGGTGAGATCTCTGTCTAGGAAAACCTGGAGAAAAGCGTCACAGGTGATGCCACAGTATTAGGGACGTGGCAGGCTGCATGGGCGGGCACTCCCCTTGACATGTTAAGTGGCCTTTTTTTTTTTTTTTTTTTTTGAGACGGAGTCTCACTATGTCTCCCAGGCTGGAGTGCAGTGGCATGATCTTGGCTCACTGCAACCTCCGCCTCCCAGGTTCAAGTGATTCTCCTGCCTCAGCCTCCTGCATAGCTGGGACTACAGGTGCCCGCCACCACACCCGGCTAATTTTTGTATCCTTAGTAGAGATAGGGTTTCACCATATTGTCCAGGCTGGTCTCGAACTCCTGATCTCAAGCAATCCACCCCCCCTCAGCCTCCCAAAGTGCTGGGATTACAGGCATGAGCCACCGTGCCTGGCCTTAAGTAGTTCTTTTCATTGTATTTCAGACTGAAAAAACATAAAATCTGCAACATAAAATGCCATTCTCTACAATGACGTTTACAATAAAATGTCTGTCTCCTCTTCCCAATTCTGTAAATCTCCTTTCCAATAAGACAGTAGATACCAATTAGTGCTCCATTATTTCTACGATCAATACATTCTTAAAATATAAGACTATGAAATCTGCAAAATAAGTAGATGTTCAGGACTGTGTGGTCATGTGGAAAGAACACCTACTTCGGAATCCTACGGATTCCTTTGCTGGCTCCATGACTATGCGCAAATGACTTACCTTTTCAGAGTTTCAACTTTCACAGTGGTAAACCAGTGATAGAAACACATTCCTGAGATGTTATGAGGGTTAAAGATCGTAGAGGTAATGGTTCTAGCACATGCCTGGCATACAATATCAGGTGTTAATATCACTACTGACCCCAATAAACAGAGTACGGTGCTAGCTCTCTTCTCTCGTCACTCCTTTTTTCCTAGCTATTTCTTCACTTGCCTCTAAAATATCAAGTTAAAAAACCAGCAGGACAAACCATATATAAAGTTGATGAATTGTACTAACATTGTGAAATCAAGTGACTAGTACTTAAAAGTTTACAAAGTTCCTTAAAATGCACTATCTTATTCAAGCTTCCTGACGTTACTGCAAGGACAGTGTCTCGTCTCGTCTTACAGAAGAGGAAACTGAGGCTCAGAGGCTATTTCCCAAAGTCTTAGAGCTGGTGAACAGAGGCATCCAGACTTCAACACAGTCCCGTGTTTTCCCCTTATTCCTGCATAGAACGGGATTCTTTTCATTGATTACTGTTCTATTACTGGTACTATGACTTATGGGACAGAGGTGGTAGGATCATAGCTACGTGTAACATTGACCCAGGATTTGTGAATAGCCATTTCTAGATCAAATTGGTGGCACTGTAGCGATCACTCTCTGATGTCCACCAAGGTACTGGTATGGAGAATCAAAGTGTGCTCTAGTTGATCAAAGATTCTAGTTAGTGGAATGCTATATGCATTGCTTGGTTCCAAAGAACTTATCTTGGTGCGGCCAGGCACGGTGGCTCACGCCTGTAATCCCAGCACTTTGGGAGGCCGAGGTGGGCAGATCACCTGAGGTCGGGAATTCAAGACCAGCCTGACCAACATGGAGAAACCCCGTCTCTACTAAAAGTACAAAATTAGCCAGGCATGGTGGTGCATGCCTGTAGTCCCAGCTACTTGGGAGGCTGAAGCAGGAGAATTGCTTGAACCTGGGAGGCAGAGGTTGCAGTGAGCCGAGATCGTGCCATTGCACTCCAGCCTGGGCAACAAGAGCAAAACTCCATTTCAAAAAAAACAAAAAACTTGGTGCATCCACACATGGAAAGGGTACTTCAGTACCTGGTGGTCCTCAGGCTCGTGGGTCTGAAGGCTGGTCTCATGGTGGTAATGTACAGATGTGCTGCTGATACAGTTCTCCAGGATAAACCATGGAGACACTCTCATACCTTCACAATTTGCTCCTTGATCAAACTGAGGTCAAAGCTTATTCCTCCAAGCACCGGAATATACTTGAGGGAAAACAGCTCTTACTCCTGTGGGCACTTTGGGCCTCTGGTAGGCTCACTTAGGCTGGGTGGGGTGTGACCATTGAAGTGGGAGGGAGGCAGGAGAAGGGCACACACATCCCCTTTTCCTGTTTCTGGCTCTATATGCTGTGGTTGGAAAAGCCACCTTCATCCATAGGTCAAATCTGCAGGATCCTATAATACCCACCAGCCCATTATGCCAGGGGGAACCTTCCACGGAGCAGCCTTGTGTGGAGATCCCACCAAGGGGAGCCTTCTGCAGGGGGAGCCTTCTGCAGAGCGGCCTTGTGTGGAGATCCCACCAGGGGGAGCCTCCCGCAGGGGGAGCCTTTCACAGAGCGGCCTTGTGTGGAGATCCCACCAGCCCATTATACCAGGGGTAGCCTTCTGCAGAGTGGCCTTGTCTGGAGATCGGGACAGTGGCATCCACTCAGCTCTCACCTGCTTGAACTGGATGGTGATGACCAAGTGAGACCGGCTGCTGCTGGCATTCATGTTGGTGGAAGCTGTGGTCCTTATTTTTGTTCCTTGTTCCATCAGCCTTTCAATTTGGGCATAGTTCTCACAGGGCACCGACTTCAGGCCTTCCACGTAAAATCCCAGCTGTTGATCTTCCCTTATTCTAAGCCCACCAGGTTTTTTGGTTCTGGACAGTAAATCTCTTATCTATAGAAAATAGAACAAATAATATAAACTTCAGGGAGGCAGGGATTGTTGTTTACTTCACTGCTGTATCTCTGCCTATATAGATGCTCAATAATAGTTATTGGATGAATGGATAAATTTCTGTAGGTATTTCATAATTTAGCAAAGTAAGAAATAGGGAAATTGCAAGCAAAAGGATAGGAAGACTGCTGTAAATAGTGAAGTCAGATGCATGCTTTTTTTTTTTTTTCCCCAAGACAGAGTTTTGCTTTTGTTGCCCAGGCTGGAGTGCAGTGGCATGATCTCAGCTCACCGCAACCTCCGCCTCCCTGGTTCAAGTGATTCTCCTGCCTCAGCCTCCCAAGTAGCTCGGGTTATAGGCATGTACCATCATGCCTGGCTACTTTTTGTATTTTTAGTAGAGACAGGGTTTCACCATGTGGGCCAGGCTGGTCTCAAACTCCTGACCTCAGGTGATCTGCCTACCTCTGCCTCCCAAAGTGCTGGGATTACAGGTGTGAGCCACCGCACCTGGCCGGCTTTTCTTTTTAAGTAAAAAAATATATATATATTATCTTTTAGAAATACAGTTTTATTGTTGTCAGGTATATATCTAGACCACTCCAACCAGACTGAGTTCCCTAAGGGTGGGTGTCTTTTTACCAGTGGATCCTCACAGTTCCTGACGCAGAGCACGCACTATGCTCATTGCATGCACAGTGCAACTGGAGCTGGGCTAACACCTGACACTTAGTTCACTGCACCGGGGGGGCCGGGGAAGCTGTCTTTGCAGCGTGATGAGGCATGTGAGTAGGTATCCACAGCGGTCTGTCTATAAATAGGTGCTTCTGACGTTTTTGCACTTGAACGCATTGTTCTCTTATTAACATAAATATTCTCCTAGCAATCTCGTTAACTCTATTTCATTAGCAACTCCTTTGCAGATAATAGAAAAATAAACCACCATGGCCTCTTTCTAAATTCTGTATTACAAAGTAATGAAGTCTTACTTTACTGAGAACAGTGATAAATAATAAAAATAATTAGAAGTTAGTAATGTTCAAAGTACCTAATATACGCAGAAGACACATTCTGCCTAGGTTAAGTCATGGCACAACAAATACCACTGCCCTGAGATCTCTACTTCCAAGGGAAACTTAGTCTCAACAATATTTGTGGCCAGGCACGGTGGCTCACACCTGTAATCCCAGCACTTTGGGAGGCTGAGGCTGGTGGATCATTTGAGGTCAGGAGTTGGAGACCGGCCTGGCCAAGATGGTGAAACCCCGTCTCTACTAAAAATACAAAACAAATTAGCCGGGCATGTTGGCGGGCACCTGTAGTCCCAGCTACTCAGGAGGCTGAGGCAGGAGAATCACTTGAACCCGGGAGGCGGAGATTGCAGTGAGCTGAGATCACGCCACTGCACTCCAGCCCGGGTGACAGAGTGAGACTCCGTCTCAAACAAACAAACAAACAAAAACCCCGTATTTGCAACAGCCTAACCAAACCAGAAAATCTGGGTAATTCTTAGGCTTTTATTATGGGAGGTTTGTGTGATGATGCTTACACCAGGGCCTTAGGACAATTCCCATGTCCCCTTGCTCTCAAAAAAGCCATGGTGAGAAGGCCAAGTAGAGTCATGCTGGGGTCCCGGCAGAGTCGGAGCAGTCTGTGTTACGTGGTGCAGAGCAACCCGGGCTGAGAATCAGACCTGGCTTCTTAGTCCCGGTTCTGCCTCCAACATGTGAGACCTTTGGAGAGTCTCTGACATTCCCAGTGTTCTCCTTCTAGGAGGACAGATTAAATGATCTCTAAGCTCTCCCCGAGCTCGAGCTTCTGTGGCTTTAATTCCTAGAGTCCAGCCAAGATTGCAGATTGAAGTTTGGGGGAAGCAAAATTAGGATAACAGACATAAGGTGCCGGAGATAAAACATCAAAATGGGGACAACTGCTGCCTTAGCTAGGAAGCCTTTCTGTAATTTCCCCTGAGTGATAGAAATGATAGGAAGTGGCATCTCAGACTGAAGATATGACTGAATAAGGCTTATTAGAAAAAAGGCAAGTAGGTTTATCTGGATGGAATGAAGTACAGGGACTTGCTGCTGGCAGCAGCACCCTCCAAGTTATGCCTGGAGATCAAGAGTGACAATGGGCCGGGTACGGTGGCTCCTGCCTGTAATCCTTTGGGAGGCCAAGGCAGGAAGATTACCTGAGGCCAGGAGTTCGAGGCCAGCCTGGTCAACACAGTGACACCCAGTCTCCACAAATTGTTTTTTTTTTTTTTTTTTAATTAGCTGGGCATGGTAGTGTGCACCTGTAGCTCCAGCTACTTGGAGGCTGAGGTAGGAGGATCACTCAAGCCCAGGAGTTTAAGGTTACAGTGAGTTATGATCATGCCACTGTACTCCAGCCTGAGCAACAGAGACCTTGTTTCAAAAAGGAAAGAAAGGGAAAAAAAGATCACCAGAACCTCGTCCCTCACCTGGGCTATGGAGAGCCTCCTAACCCCTGCTCTGCCCTATCTGGTACTCCTTCAAGTACAGCTTCACTCTGCCCCTGGAGAAATACCTGAAACACTGATCTGATTATTTTACTCCCCCGTTCGGAAGCCTTGCTTGGTTCTCCGTTGCCTGCTCATTAAAGGACTTTCCTTCTTGGCAGCCATCTTTGGCTTCATCCCCCGATGCTCCCCCTACCCTCAGCGACCACATACCCCCTCCCCCGACACAGGGCACTCACCTGACCCACAAATGCTAACTCTCACGTGTTAATGATTTAAAATACCTATCCTGCTGCCTGAAGTGCTGCTATTTCTATTTGCACCTTGCACCCTCGCTTCTTTGCCTCACCAAACTCATGACCCTGTTTCAAGGCCCAGCCTAACTCCTCTGCGAACAACACGGAACAGTCCTGGTGGTATTAGCTCTATCCCCGCTTCCAGGCCACGGTCTCGGTGCCACTCCTGCGCACACCTCGGTCTCGGTGCCACTCCTGCGCACACGTAACATTGTGTCACTTTCTGCAGTGAGTGCTGCATCCTCCACTAAGCTGCTCCAGGGCAGGAATCAAGTGTTAGGTTTTATTCATCCTCAGAGTCTAGCATTCTGTCTAAAACATGAAGGATATTTAACAGACCTTATTTAATTGACTGCTGAAAGAACTGATGGAAAAAGGAGGTCTGAAAAGGATCTTAGATTGAGGCCTCTGAGCCCAAGCTAAGCCATCATATCCCCTGTGACCTGCACGTATACATCCAGGTGGCCTGAAGTAACTGAAGAATCACAAAAGAAGTGAAAATGGCCTGTTCCTGCCTTAACTGGTGACATTACCTTGTGAAATTCCTTCTCCTGGCTCATCCTGGCTCAAAAGCTCCCCCACTGAGCACCTTGTGACCCCCACTCCTGCCAGCCAGAGAACAACCCCCTTTGACTGTAATTTTCCACGACCTACCCAAATCCTACAAAACAGCCCCACCCCTGTCTCCCTTTGCTGATTCTCTTTTCGGACTCAACTCACCTGCACCCAGGTGAAATAAACAGCCTTGTTGCTCACACAAAGCCTGCTTGGTGGTCTCTTCACACAGGCGCGAGTGAAACTTAGGATGCCCAATTCTCATTCTCTGCTTTTCTTTCTTTCTTTCCTTCTTTTTTTTTTTTTTTTTTTTTTTTTTGAGATAGAGTCTTGCTCTGTCCCCAGGCTAGAGTGCAGTGGCGCCATCTCGGCTCACTGCAAGCTCCGCCTCCCAGGTTCACGCCATTCTCCTGCATCAGCCTCCCGAATAGCTGGGACTACAGGCACCTGCCACCACGCCTGGCTAATTTTTTGTATTTTTAGTAGAGACAGGATTTCCCCATGTTAGCCAGGATGGTCTCGATCTCCTGACCTCATGATCCGCCTGCCTCGGCCTCCCAAAGTGCTGGGATTACAGGCGTGAGCCACCACACCCAGCCCCGATTCTCTTACTCAGAGATAAGAAAGCAGAATTCCAGAGAGATTATCATCATGAGTGGGTGTCAGCAGGTGGACCATGATAAGATGTCCTTCCCCCCGTTCTTCCCCATGAGAACCCGGTAGTAAAGGGAGTGAGGTCCAGGGCTTCGGCAGTAAAGGGAGTGAGGTCCAGGGCGTTGGATAGTTTCTGGGGTTCCACTGAAACTATTAGCATATGGCCTCTGACCATAAGAAATCTACAATTACAGGTACATTTGTCAATTTATCCATTCAGCAAACATCTAGGAAGCACCCATTCTAGACTAAATATTGCATAAGCCTTGCAGATGAAACAGTATTCAAAAGGAAATCATTATTTGGAAATCACATACAGCTATGTAAATAAAATTTTACAGTACAATGTAATAAGTGCAAGGGGAAAGGGCAGAATGAAAAAAAATGCTGAAGATCCAGCTTTGGATAGGCAGTGTTAGACATTTAAAAATTGAGTACATCTTCAGATGTAGCGTCTTATTTTAAATTCTCCTTACGCAAATGCGAACTGAGCTCTGAGATGAAATGAGTTTCCAAAGTCACACGGCGAGTACACAGGAGAGGTGGGCTTGGAAAAGATCCTCTTCCGACTCTCCAGGAGCTGGTGAACCACAGCCTGTGAGCCGAATTCAGCCCACCGCCTGCTTTTGACCCTTGAGCTCTGAGTATTCTTCACGTTTTTAAATGGCTGAAACAAATGTACTATTTTGTGACATATGAAAATGATGTAACATTCAAATTTAGTGTCTATAAGTAAAGTTTCTTTGATACACAGTCAGTTGCACCTTCTCGTGTCTCGTCTACGGCTTCTCTTGAACTATGACAGCAGAGTTGAGTGCCTGCAGCAGGGACAGTGTGGCCCCCAAAGCCTGAACTATTGACTACCTGGCCCTCCTCGGGTAAAGTTTGCCAATCCCTGTACAGTGTCATGCCGACTGAAGCTACCTGCTTCAGAGCGAGGTGCTGACCTTGAGCTGGATGTTTAGTGGTGTCTTTAAGGACAGAGAAGGCAGAAACGGTGCTCCAGGCCGAGAAAGGATAGATGCGAGAAAGGGGAACGTGCTCTGGAAAGGAGGAACGGTTCCGTGTGTGAAGAGAAGGGGACGTTGATGAAGTTGGAGAGGTAGGTGGGGCTGGGTGGTTGAGGCCGGGCCAGAGTTTACAGGCAGGACAGGTGACCGTGAGTCCCAGAGGTTCACTGAGCTTCAGAGTCGCCCAGATTTGCATGTCAGAAACATCTCTATTACCTATTCCTTGTAAATTTCTAGCATACTGAACATAACCTGTATGGAGAAGAGCATACAAAGTAAATATTCTCTCAAAACAGTTATTTTGGGGGCAGAGAAGTGATAGGGAAACAACATAAATGTTGAATAATGGGGAAAAAGCTGATACTAAATAAAGCAAAGTTCTGTTTCAATGTGCAATATGAGGTTCTCAAATAATGATATGGAGGAAGTTCTTACTATAATTAAAAACAGATATAGGCTGGGCGCGATGGCTCACGCCTGTAATCCCAGGACTTTGGGAGGCCGAGGCTGACGGATCACCTGAGGTCAGAAGTTCGAGACCAGCCTGGCCAACATGGTAAAACCCCGCCTCCACTAAAAACACAAAAATTAGCCAGGCAGGGTGGCGGGTGCTTGCAGTCCCAGCTGCTTGGGAGGCTGAGGCAGGAGAGTCACTTGAACCTGGGAGGCGGAGGTTGCAATGAGCTGAGATCGTGCCATTGCACTCCAGCCTGGGCGACAGAGTGAGGCTCCATCTCAAAACAACAACAACAAAAAGATACAAAACAGTAGTATATGTGTTTTGGTCTCGACTGGGGACAGAGAAAGGCGGTTCTTTCATGTTCATGCCCCAACCTGAACACATGTAGAGAGACTGGTCTCCACCCTCCCATGCTCTTGGACTCCTGCTAGCCAAGCTCGCACCTCTTAAGCAGGACTGGGGGACTCCGAATGGCTCTAGTCGAGAGCAAAGACCTCAAGTACTGGCGTTTTCCCACCTCCCCCAAGAAAAAGCTGGCTTGCCTGTGGGTCACCCCGCAGTAAGTCTTGCTTGTCAGGCCGTGCAGCCACAGAGCTTCCTGTTAGCTTCTGTGTGTTTCATGTTTTTTATTTTTATTTTCTATGTGTAATATATCCATGTAAGAGTGTCTCATGTTTAAAAATGAGCAAAGGGCCAAGCATTAGCAGACAGAGAAAGCCTCCAATATGAGAGAGGGGTCAAAGCAAACAAGTAGAAAGAAGGAACTCAGAAAACAGACTGAGAGAGTAAAAGGCAATGAATTTTTCTTTCTTTTCTTTTCTTTTATTTTTTTTAAGACAAGGTTCTGCTGTCGCCCAGGCTGGAAATGCAGTGGTACGACCTCAGCTCACTGTAGCCTCAACCGCTGGGCTCAAGCCATTCTCCTGCCTCAGCCTCTCGAGTGGCTGGGACTACAGGATCACGCCACCACGCCCAGCCAACTTTCGTATTTTTAGTAGAGGCGGGATTTTGTCGTCTTGCTCAGGCGGGTCTTGAACTCCTAGCCTCAAGTGATATGCCCCCCTCGTCCTCTCAAAGTGCTGGGATTACAGGCATGAGCCACCGTGCTCAGCATAGAAATATTTTTTAAAGCCCTAGAAGTAATAGCCTCAAAGAAAGAATGATACCCAGTTATACCCATGGAAAAAAAGAGCATTTTACTTAAAAGAACAGCTGGAGAATAAAATAAAGTGCTTGTAAATTAAATTTATGAATGACAGCCGAAATAAAAATGCAGGAAAGTTATAATATCATTCAGGGAATCTTCTAGAATGCAGAATAAAAAAGACCAGTGGTGGCTGACACTTGGAATTCCAGCTACTTGACAGGCTGATGCCAGGAGGATCCCTTGATCTCAGGAGTTCAAGACAAGCCTGGGCAACAGAGTGAGGCTCCATCTCTTTCAGAAAAGAAAAGACCAAGAAATACAAGATAGGTTGTAAAAGATCATAAAATTAGAACATTAGTACAAGAGGCCCAAAATCCAATTAGTAGGAATTTCAGAAAGGGAAAACAAGAAATACAGGAGATGAAATAATAAATAATATAAGAAAAGTTTCCCAGAACTGAAGGACAGGAATCTCCAGATTGAAAAAGGTCTACCAAGTGTCCAGCATGATAAATGAAAAAAGAATCATTAAGACATCAGAACACCAAGGATAATGAGAAGACCCTGAAGGCTGCGAGAGATAAACTGACTGTCAAAAAAGGTTGCATACAAAGAACCGGGGGTCAGAATGGTAGCCAACTTCCCAGCTGCAACACTAGAACTTAAAATATAACGGAGACCTTCAATATTCTCAGAATTCCATTCCTGGTAAATGTCAATCACGTGTGGAGGTACGAAAAGATATTTTCAGTTGTGCAAAGGATGAACCAAAAAGTACTCTGGATGCACCTTTTCTGAGGAAATTGCAGCAAAAAGAGAGTAAATCAAGAAAGAAGAATACATTGGATCCAGGAGTCAGGGGAGCCAACGAAGATGAAGGTTGAAGTCAAGTTCCAGAATGACAGTGTTGAGGTAGCCCTGTAGAAACAGTACCCCAAATTGTGCCAATAGAATTAATAAAATTGTAGTAGGAGAATTGAGGACTCCTGCTGAGGGAGACCCCAAAAATCATGGTACCAGCACGTTTGAGTGTATGGAGATTTGTCAATAGGCATGTGACAGTGATTTGGAGCACTTAGAAAGATTTATAGAAAAGTAAACCTAATTAAAATGGCAATTAAAAATTCCAAGAAAAATAAAATGTGGAAAGGACGTATGCATTATCTGCTGCAGCAGTGAACAATACTTGTGCAGTTAAACTGTTAACAATTAAATCCTGAGGCAGAAACTGTTAAGAAAAAATAATAAGATGTTAACAATTATTGATTTAACCAAATGTTATAATAAGCATTGTCCTAAATGTAGGGAGTATATGGGGGGAACGTATTGTGGTTGGGGAGTATGGGGGGGAACGTACTGTGGTTGGGGGGTTGGGGGAGGGGCAGCGGTTCCCATCACCCAGCTCCACCCTGACCCTGCCTCCTTCCTGCCCCCAATAGCTGACCTCTGTCGGGACAAGTTCTCCAAATGTGGCGTGATGGCCAGCAGCGGCCTGTGCCAATCCGTGGCGGCCTCCTGTGCCAGGAGCTGTGGGAGCTGCTAGGGTGGTGCTGGCATCCTGAGTCCTGGCCCTCCTGGGATCTGGGGCCCTCGGGCCCTGCCTGACCTGGTGCTTTTTTCCCCATCCCCATGTTCCTTTTATTCTGTAAAAAGTTAGTGGACTGCAGCCCTGGGGGTTGCAGGCTGCGGTGCCTCAGGCCCCTCCTTCAGCCTGTGGCCACCTCTGGGGCACAATGGGGGCTCCCCACTGCCCAGTCTGCCCCTCGGGTTGGGGGAGTATCCCAGGCCTCTCTGTGGGACCTGGGCCCCTGACGGGCCTTCTCAGCCCGTTTTGAGGACAGACAGTCCCCCGAGGTAGGCTACATCCCCCCACCCCAGCTGGTCTGCTTGGATTTCCTACAGCCCCCGTGGGCATGGACCACCTTTATTTTATACAAAATTAAAAACAAGTTTTTACAAAAGATCAAGTCACTTTTTCGGTGGAGAGCACAGAGGGGCCAGCCAAGTGCCCCCAACGCGGACTGTCCTGAGAGGCTCCTGACCCCTTGGAGTGAACGATCTGCTCAGGTGCCCTGTGCTTCCGCAGTCCCAGCCCCACCGCCTTACCCGCCGGCTCCAGCTCTGCCCTGCCCAGAACGCTGCGTCATGACAGTGTACGCGCGCATGCGTGTTGTGGGAATTGCACGGGAGATGGAAGGCTTCAGGGACACAGCTTTCTGATGACCGGGGCTGCTTGGTGAGCACATTGAGTTCCCATCACCAGAGGAACACAGCAAAAATGGGAGGCCGCCCATGGGGTGGGGGGGGCACAGGGTCAAGGCAGGCGGACTGACATCCAAGGCCTTTGTTTGGGAAGTTGGGGAGATGGGTGCCATTAAGAGGGCAAAAAAAGCGGGGCACAGGGACTCACACCTATAATTCCAGCACTTAGGGAGGCTGAGGCGGGCGGATCACTTGAGGCCAGGAGTTCGAGACCAGCCTGGCCATGGCGAAATCCCGTCTCTAGTAAAAATACAAAAAAAAATTAGCCAGGCGTGGTGGCGTGTGCCTGTAATTCCAGCTACTCAGGAGGCCGAGGCACAAGAATTGCTTCAATCTGGGAGGCGGAGGTTGCAGTGAGCCGAGATCGCGCCACTGCACTCCAGCCTGGGCGACAGAGCAAGACTGTGTCTCAAAAAACAAAGGGCAAAAACAAGCAAGCCATTGTAACACCTCCCCTCCCCTCCCCTCCCCTCCCCTCCCTACAACATCCAGCCCAAGGCAGCTGCCAATTTCTTTTCTATCTCTATAGATTTGCTTCTCCTGGAAACTTCATTCAAATGGAATTATACAGTGTGTGGTCTTTTTTCTCTGGCTTCTTGTACTTAGAATGACATGTCCAAGGTTTGTCCACATTGTAATGTGTTAGAATTTCATTCCTTTTTAAGGCTGAATCATCCGTTGTAAGGATAGACCAATTTTATTCAACTGTTCATCAGTGGATGGGTGTTTGGGCTGTTTCCACCTCGTGGCTGTTACAGATATGCTGCCGTGGAAAATTCATGTACGAGTTTTTGTGTGGACATATTCTTTCTCTTGGCTATTTGAGGTTTTAAACTAGACTTGTATGCCTTTGAAAATATTTGAATTAAAAATTAGAGGCTGGGCACAGTGGCTCATGTCTGTAATCTGAGAGCTTTAGGAGGCCAAGGAGGAGGGATTGCTTGAGGTCAGGAGTTTGAGACCAGCCTGGGTGACATAGCAAGACCCCAGTCTCTACAAAATATAAATATAAAAATCTAAATGAATAAACATTAGAAATGTACTGAAATGTTAATGGTAGTTAGGTGATATTATAAAATTCTCTAACTTGAACATGTTACCATTAACATCAGAAAAATAAGATAAAAAATAATGCTCTATTGCGTTTTCATAACACCAGCTTAAACAGTCCTACCATTTTAAGAAAGCAGAACCATGAACTATGCTTATAGGCATTTGCTGACATTTTCCTGTTATGTTTTAAAGCTAATTATGTTAATGGTACACTCCACCTTGAAAATGTCACCAGCGTTCAGTGAATCTAAAATTTGGTCTTGGGTCTCGTATGCTAGGGCGAGTAAGAGGCTATGCTCTGTGTAAAAAAACAATTTAAAAACGAAGTAATATTCTTCAGAAATAAAAACAAGTTGATTAAGACTAGAATAGAGCCACAGCCTTGGCAGAAGAGGGTGGCAAAGGGAGCCACAGACGTGAGTCGGCTAAGGTTTTGTTTTATAAACCAAATAACAATATCCAATAATAATCCCTTGTTAGTGTTAGCAATTAAGATGTCTGCTTCTAGAATATTACACCAGAGTGAGTTTCCTTGGATTTGCCTCCATATAACCAGAAAAATCCAACATCTTATTTAGCTGCAACATGATTTTGTAATCATACAAACATTTTGGTATAAAAAACAAACATTATCCTAAAATAGAGATGCTGAGAACTTCCATTTGGGGAAGGGGTCCAGAATGAAAAAATCCAATCCCTTAAAGAAAGGATTCGAGAATACGTACCTGGTGTTCTTGATTTCTCCCCTGGTTCTCGATTGCTCGAAAGAGCTCCTCACACACAGTTGGAATAATACCCTGTTTGCACCAAACCCAATCATGGAATAGCTTTTCCCAGAGCCAGTTTGGCCATAGGCTAGGAGAGTTGCATTATAGCCTTGCCAAGCACTGTCCAGAATTCCCCTGCCAAGGTCATGGAAGACGTCTCTCTGGAAAGATGACAGGTGGCATATTCAGCACAGGCCAGTGGCATGCAGATTTCCTCTTCCCTACTTTCTGAGTCCTCTTAAATCTGAATAAGTATCCTGACTTTCATAAATCCCACCTCGATTCATAGCGTATGACCTGCTTGAAATACAACTCAGATGCCGGCTTAGAACAGGTGGAGTGAAACTGAAAGGATTTGTCAATTTGGAAAACACTCATCATTTACATTCATGGATCACATCGGGTACATCCTAAACTAGCTAATCCCTGTTGGTCATGAAATTGCATAGTTCATAGCCTTGCCAAAACACGGGCCAGGTCTTTAAAATTAAGCAATTAGACAAAAATATCAAGGCACAGAAGCCAGTCAAAGCATTTTCTACTACTTTATTCGTTGACTCAAACAATAACATCACAATATAGCCACACTGATTTTAGTCCTCTGCTAGTGAGCTCTTCTCTTTTTCTGCTTTTTCCAGTGGTTCTGGAACACACACACACACACACACACACACACACACACACACGTGCATCCCCCTTTTTTAAGTTAAAATAGAAATGTTTGTGCCCACTGTTGCTGAAAGAGAGGGGATGTGGTCTGCCTCCTTTTATCATCTGGGCTGTGACCATAGACCGCAATAGTTATCTTATTTGAGGCTGTTTCAAAGTGTATATTTCTTCCTACTCTCTAATAGCAATGGTAAAGCACTAAGCATTATTCCATTTGTTACGATATATACATTTGTATAATTTATTTCATGTTTCTGGGGAAAATGCACATACCAACATAGTGTGATTTACATGAGGACAATAGACAATAACCAACGTTCATGTAATATTTGAGAAAGGGATAAAAATTATTCCACCAAAAGGGTTAGGGGAGCTCTAGACTTTAAAATGTGGAGTCTCACCAGTGGTTTCCCAGAACACTGTGACTGTACTTTTACCAGAAGAAATATATTAGTGTAACAGATGTTGACTCTACTGTAGAAGCTGTGTGCTAAACCTAACACATGCCTACCAAGTAAAAGTAACTAGTTTTGCTGTTTTGTTTTCTCAGTGCTATTGGAGATTTCGGAAAACATTTTGTGTGTGTGCTTAATTTTTATGGATTGAAAACTTTAAACAAGTAATATGGGCCAGGCGCGGTGGCTCATGCCTGTAATCCCAGCACTTTGGCAGGCCAAGGTGGTGGATCACCTGAGGTCAGGAGTTCGAAACCAGACTGGCCAGCATGGTGAAACCCCCATCTCTACTAAAATACAAAAAATTAGCCAGGTGTGGTGGCAGGTGCCTGTAATCTCTGCTACTCAGGAGGCCGAGGCAGGAGAATCACTTGGACCTGGGAGGCGGAGGTTGCAGTGAGCCGAGATTGCACCACTGTACTCCAGCCTGGGCAACAGAGGGAGACTCTGTCTCAAAAAACAAAACAAACCCCAGGTGTTGGCATGGCCACGCTGCCTCAGAAGCCTCTAGAGGAGAAGACTCCCTTGCCTCTCCCTAGCTTCTGGTGGCTCCCGGTGGTGCTCAGGGCTCCTCCCCTCGCTGCTGCTTCGCTCCACTTGGTGTCCTCTGCCACATGGTTCCCCATGTCTGAGTGTCCAAATTTCCTCCTCCCTACAAGGATTGGACTTAGGGCTCCCTCAAATCCAGTATGGCCTCATCTGCCAAGATGCTGTTTGCACGTAGGGTCCCATTCTGAAGTTCTAGATGGACGTGAATTTTGGGGGGTCACTATTCAACCCATTACAGCACCTTTGTAGAGAATCAGTTGATGATATGTATGAGGGTCTATTTCTGGACACTCTATTCTGTTCCATTGATCCATATGTCTATCTTTAAACCAGTACCAGGCCAGGTGTGCTGGCTCATACCTGTAACCCAGCACTTTGGGAGGCTGAGGCAGACAGATCACCTGAGGTCAGGAGTTTGAGACCAGCCTGGTCAACATGAGGAAACCCCATCTCTACTAAAAATACAAAAATTAGCCAGGCATGGCGACATGTGCCTGTAATCCCAGCTACTCGGGAGGCTGAGGCAGGAGAATCGCTTGAACCCTGGAGGCTGAAGTTGCAGTGAGCTCAGATCACGCCATTGCACTCCAGCCTGGGCTACAAGAGGGAAACTCCCTCTCAAAAATAAATAAATAATAAAAAACCAATACCATGCTATCTTGATTACTGTAGCTTTGCGATGGGTTTTACGTTCTCCAACTTCATTCTCTTTCAAAATAATTTTGGCCATTCTGAGTCCTTTTTACAATTCCATGTAAATTATTGAAATAGTGTATCAATTTCTATCAAAAATGCCTGCTGGGGTTTTGATTGGGATTGCTTTGAATTTGTTGATCAATTTGACTTCTGAATAATATTGTCTTCTTATTTATTTAAGTCTTCCTTTCAGTAATGTTTTATAGTGTTCAGAGCTCAGTTTTTGCACATATTTTGCTAAATCTATCGTTAAAGTGTTTCATGTTTTTGATACTATTGTTCATATTTAAAAATTTCATTTTCCAATTGTTCATCGCTATTATAGTTTAGAGAAATACTATTGCTTTCTGTATATTGACTTTTCTAAACACAGTTATTAACTGTAGTAGCTTTTTTGTTTTGTAGAGCACTTAGGATTTTTATTTTTTATTTTATTTTTGGAGATAAGGCCTCACTATGTGGCCCAAGCTGGACTGCAGGTGCCATTCACAGGTGCGATTATAGCCCACTGAGGTCTTGGACTCCTGGCCTCAAGTGATCCTTCTGCCTCAGCAGGATTCATGTCATCTGCAAATAGTTTTACTTCTTTTTCTTTTTTCTTTCTTTTCTTTCTTTTTTTTTTTTTTTTTTTTTTTTGAGACGGAGTCTCCCTCTGTCGCCCAGGCTGGAATGCAGTGATGCGATCTCAGCTTACTGTAACCTCTTCCTCCTGGGCTCAAGTGATTCTCTTACCTCAGCCTCCCAAGTAGCTGGGATTACAGGCACCCACCACCAAGCCCAGCTAATTTTTTTTTTTTTTTTTTGTAATTTTAGTAGAGACAGGTTTCATTGTGTTGGCCAGGCTGGTCTTGAACTCCTGACCTCAGGTGATCCGTCTGCCTCGGCCTCCCAAAGTGCTGGGATTACAGGCATGAGCCATCGTGCCCAGCCTTCTTTTTCTTTTATTTTTTGAGACAAGGTCTCACACTTGTCCAGGCTGGAGTGAAGTGGTGTGACCTCAGATTGCTGCAGCCTCTGCTTCCCCAGGTCAAGTGATTCTCCTACCTCAGCCTCCTAAGTAGCTGGGATTGCAGGCGTGCACCACCATGCCCGGCTAATTTTTGTATTTTTTGGTAGAGACAGGGTTTCACCATGTTGGTCAGGCTGCTGGTCTGGAACTCCTGACCTCAAGTGATCCTCCTGCCTTGGCCTCCCAAAGGCGTGAGCCACCTGCCCAGCCTACTTCTTCTCAATCAGCGTATTTCTTATTTCCTACCAATGGTCTTTGCCCTGGCTAGAACTTGTAGTGAATGTTGTATAGCAGTGACGGGAATAGACACCCTTGGCTTGCCTGCCGTCCTATGGAGAACACCTGCTTCACCATCAAACATGATGGAAGCTGCTTTCCAGGCAAGTTCTATTTCTAGGAAACTTCCTCTCATTTGTTGAGAGGTTGAGAATTTTATGATTGAGGGTTAAATTTTGTCATTCTTTTTGCAGCCAATCATATTTTTTCTCCTATATTCTATTCTAGATCATGAACTTTAAATGTTAAAACAATTTTACATTCCCAGGAAAGGGCCCACTTGATAGTGATTGGGCTTGATTGATAGTGACAGTAATATATTAAGGCCCACCCGATATATGATTCGATTGTGTTTGCTGAAACTTTGATAATAATTTTTGTGTCTGTGTTCATGAAAGATAATGGCCTATAGTGTTTTTGTAATATCTTTGGCTGCTCTTGTTGGAATACTGGCTTTGTAAAATGAAATGGGAGTGTTTACTATGATCTGCATTTTTTTTTTATTTCTTTCTTTGGTAGAATTCACCAGCAAAGATACCTGGAAATGGAGTTTCTTTGTGAGGTTTTTAGGTACAAATTCAATTTATTTAATAGATACAGGACTATTTGAGTCATCTATTTCTTTGCATGAACTTCAGTAGCTTGTGTCCATTTGTTGTTGAATGTATTGGCATTAAGTTGTTCAAAATATTTTTAATCACTCTTTTTAAAAAAGGGAGATTTGCCCAGGCTGGCCTGAAGCTCCTGGCCTCAAGCAGTCTCCAGCCTCAGCCTCCCAAAGTGCTGGGATTGCAGTTGTGAGCCACCCAGCCTTCTCAGTCTTTTAATGTCCCTGGGATCACTTATGCTCTTGGTATTTGGCTTATCAATTTTATGGATGTTTTCAAAGAACCAGCTTTAGGTTTCAGTGTTTTTTCTCTATTGTTTTACTGTTTTTCGTTTCATTAATTATCACTTTTATCTTTTTTCTTCTGCTGCTTGTTTTATGTTTAATTTGCTCTCTTTTTAAATTCTTAACTGGAAGATTACAATGCCAAGTTGAGATGATGATTCTCTAATGTAAGCTTGACTGCTAGAAAACCTCCCCCAGCTCCATTTAGATGCGTCCCACATATGAAAATATATGTGTGTATATATGTGTGTGTGTATGTGTGTATATGGGTGTGTGTATTTGTGTGTGTATATGTATATTTGTATATATGTATATGTATGTCTGTGTATTTGTGTATCTGTATACATGTATGTGTGTTTGTGTATGTGTGTATGTGTATGTGTGTATGTGTGTGCATATGTATTCTGTGTGTTTGTGTATATGTGTGTATGCGTGTATGTGTATGTGTGTACATGTGTATATGTGTGCATGTGTAGTGTGTATGTGTATTTGTGTGTATGTGTGTATATGTATGTGTGTATGTATGTGTGTATATGTGTATATTTGTGTGTATATGTATGTGTGTATATGTGTATCTGTGTGTATATGTGTATATGTGTGTATATGTGTGTATATTTGTGTGTATATGTTATCTGTGTGTGTATATTTGTGTATATGTGTGTGTATCTGTGTGTATATTTGTGTGTATATGTGTGTGTATCTGTGTGTATATTTGTGTGTGTATATGTGTGTGTATATTTGTGTATGTGTGTGTATAGGTGTGTATAGGTGTGTGTGTATGTGTGTGTATATGTGTGTGTGTGTATATATTTGTCTATCCTGACTGCATACTCCATGCTTGTTCTACACATTTTGACAGGTGTCTTGAGTTGCCTTTTTTTTGTCTTTTAAACATTTTTTTAAACTTATTTTTTATTTTTTGTAATACTGTTTCTCTGGCCTCTTCCTTGTAAGTAGTGTTTTGATTTTCATTCAGTTAAAAAAAATGTTTTCTAATTTCCCTAGTGGTTTTTTCTTTAACCAATGGATTATTTAGAAGTCTGCTATTTTCCAAATGCTTGTGAATTTCCCAAATATTTTTCTTCTAGTTTAACTCCAGTGTGGTCAGAAAACATACTTCATATGATTTCAATTTTTTTTTTTTTTTTTTTTTTTTTTTTTTTTGAGACAGGATCTCACTCTTATTGCCCAGGCTGGAGTGCAGTGGTGCAATCACGGCTCACTGCAGCCTTGACTTCCTGGGCTCGAGTGATCCTCCCACCTCAGCTTCCAAAGTAGCTGGGACCACAGGCGCGCACCACCATGCCCAGCTAATTGTTTGTATTTTTAGCAGAGACGGTTTTTCGTCATGTTATCCAGGCTGGTCTCAAACTCCTGGGCTCCGGCGATCCACCTGTCTTGGCCTCCCGAGGTGCTAGGATTATAGCCACACACCACCATGCCCAGCCAATTTCAGTCCTCTTACACTCACATTTATTGAGGCGAGTTTTATGATCTGAAATACTGTCTATCATGATGAATGTTCTGTGTGTACTTACAAAGAAAGAATGCGTGTGCTGTGGTTGGGTGGGAAGTGGTTGACATGTTTTATGATATAATTGTCAATTAGGTTGATATTATTCTGCTCTTCTATAATATGACAGTTTTGTCAATTACTGAGATAGCTAGGAGTGTTGAAATCACTAAATACAGTTGTAGATTTGTCTATTTTTCTGTTTCTATTTTTGCTTTGTTTACTTTAAAGCTCATTTTTTAGGTACATACCCATTCAGGCTGGCTATGTTTCCTTAATGAACTCTTTCCTCATTATTAAATATTTCTTGTTCTGAAGCCTATGCAATGTGATGTAAATGTAGCCTCTAGTTTTTTTTTTTGTTAGTGTTTTCATGCTTTTTTTTTAAATATGTAAACCAGGTTTTTAAAAATCCTGTGATACAGAAGCACTTAAACCACCCCCAACCCACACACACATTTTGTAGACAGATATAGTTGGATCCTGCTTTTTCTATCTTATCTGATGATCTTTGCTTTTTAATTGGTCATGTTTAGACTATTTATGTTTTACATAATAATTGATATAAATTATTGGCATTAAATCTACTGTCTTGCTATTTGTATTCTACTTATCCCATCTCCTCTGTGTCTAAATCCCAAACATGGCAGGATAAGAGGGGTAAAGAATGTTTTATAGTTCCGTTTCCCCACACTTGACTCATTAGTTAGTTATACTTGTTTTATTTATTTATTTTGTATTGATTGCTCTAGGGCATCAGTTCACACAGTGCATTCCAGGGTCTGTGAGATCTTTTCAGGGTGTTTGTAAAGTGACACTTCCTTTTGTGATCGTACTAATGTTTGCTTTTTTCATTCTCATCCTCTCATGAGCGTAGAGTGGAGTAACGTGTGCAGTGGGATTTGCCAGAGGCTATGTAACGTGATTTTATAGATGACATGCAGGGCAGAGAATCAAGCTCTTTCATGAAGTCAGACATTACAGAGATTTCAAAAAATGGAAAGCAGTGCCATTCTCTTCAGTGTCGGCTCGAGTACTATTTTTTGGCCTGACATGGTGTTTCACACTTAAGATCCCATCACTTTGGGAGGCAGAGGCAGAAGGATCATTTGAGCCTAGGAGTTCGAGACCAGGCTGGGCAACAGAGCAAGAGCTCATCTCTAAAGAAAAATAAAAATAGATCGGGCGTGATGGCTCACACCTGTAATCCCAGCTCTTTTGGGAGCTGAGGCGGGCGGATGACTTGAGGTCAGGAGTTCGAGACCAGCCTGGCCAACATGGTGAAATCCCATCTCTACTAAAATACAAAAATTAGCCAGGTGTGGTGGCACACACCTGTAATTCCAGCTACTTGGGAGGCTGAGGCAGGAGAATCGCTTGAACCTGGGAGGCAGAAGTTGCAGTGAGCCAAGACTGCGCCACTGCACTCCAGCCTGGGTGACAGAGTGAGACTCCATCTCAAAATAAATAAATCAATAAATAATAAAAAAAATTACTTTTCATAAAAATATTTTTATATTATGTATGTTTACTAGTAATGGATTTTTAATGTTTTTATTAACTGATGTTAATAAAACATCACCCTGTGTTTGTAATAAAACAAACCCTGTGCTCTAGGGTCACAATAGATTTCTTTAAAATATTTTATTTTCAAATATTATATTACTTCCTCTATAATGCAAAACCTTCAAACAATATACTTCTGGTAGCTGTCTCGTTTTTTTTGGTGTAGTCATATTTTATTTCTGTATTTGTTTTGAATCCCAACAGAATTTATTCTTGCTTTGACAATCAGTGATCTTTCTGAAAGATTCAAAATTAGAAAAAAATTTTCTTGGGCACAGTGTTCTAGGTTGAGAATTTCTTTTCTTTTCTTTTTTTTTTTTTTTGAGATGGAGTCTCATTCTGTCACCCAGGCTAGAGCGCAGTGGTGTGATCTCAGCTCACTGCAACCTCCATCTCCTGGGTTCAAGTGACTCTCCTGCCTCAGCCTCCCTAGTAGCTGGGATAACAGGCATGTGCCACCATGCCCAGCTAGTTTTGTTTTGTATTTTTAGGAGAGATGGGGTTTCACCATGTTGGCCAGGCTAGTCTTGAACTCCTGACTTCAAGCAATCTACCTGCCTCGGCCTTTCAAAGTGCTGGGATTACAGGCATGAACCACTGCTCCTGCCCAAGGTTGAGAATTGCTTTCAGCTCGTAAGTCTCTCCATTGTGTTCTAGCTCGCATAATTCTGACAATATATCTGCGGTCATTCTTGTTGTTCCTCCATCTTTTCTCACTTGTTTTAAGATTTTATCACTGGATTAGAGCAATTTAATTAAAATGAGACTTACTGTGATTTTCCTTATTCTACTTAGGACTTATTGCTCTTCTTAGACCTGTGGGTTTATAGTTTCCATCAAATTTGGGAAAATTTCAGCCATCATTCCTTCAAGTATTTTTTGCACACACGCCCCTCCCATTCTTTCTGTGACTCCAATTACATGTAGAGTAAGATTGTCCCACATGTCACTGAGGCTCTGTTCATTTCCTCCCCATAACTTTTTCTGACTGTTTCTCCTTGTCTGTCAAAATTCAGCCTAAACATCATACCCTTTATTAAACCATTCACCAGATATCCTGTCTAGATTGAATGACCACCTCACCTTTGTACCCCACTGTATCCCATACATCTTATCACAGAGCCTGTAACATCTGAGTGTACTTTTTTCCTGTCTCCCCAAACCAAATTGTGAGCAACTTTCAGGCAGAACAGTGCATGGCATATGATAAATGCTCATTAAAACAGAAGTTCTCAGATGCTAAGTGCCTCATACAGTTTGCTTATTTTGCTTATCTCAAGGAAGCAAAATATAATTGACTTGACTGTCATACCTTTTTCAGTGTGTCAATACATTGGCAAATGAACTGATTTGAGTATCTAAAAATTACTTAGGCCATAGCTGTGTTTTTGGACCTCACGTTCAGCATAGAAAAGGAGTAAATTTAAAGTGAAATTCTCATATGGAAACATAGATTTATGCTTGCATAAAATTATTATACTTTCACACTGTGAACACATCATCAAAAACAAAACAACAAAAAACTGGCATTGAAGCTGTGTTTTAAAGCAACTTACCTGGCCTGCAAATTTACGACTAGGATCAGCTGAAATAAGGACACCATCCTTATCCCTTTGAAATCCATTGTGAGACCAATATGCCAGGTCAAAAGTAAATGTCTTCACATGCTCTGGATTCTTAGGGTCCTGTGTAGTGGTGGTAGTTCTGGAATGCATGGAAATCACACATTTGCTCCCAGAATTCTTCTCTCTCTACAGTCAAATTACAAATTCGGAGTCAATCATTCCAGTTTCTCTTTGTTATCCAAGTTCATTGTTTTGCAAGTCTTTATACCTAGTAAGAAATTAAGCCAAGAACTTACCCTTCCCTCAGTTTGTTCTCTAATTGTGTTACTTTTAGCAGCTATTATGACAAGCAGTTGTTCCTGTACTCCCTCGGAATTTTTGAAAGGCTTGTCTCTAGTCACATTAACTTTCTGAGAAGAGCTGGCTCTCTAACACCCAGGTATACTAATAACAATAACTACAGTAGTGGAGATACTGACTTCCTGCATAACTGGTGAACTCCCCAGTAAAACTAGTGAAAAATTATCCATTAAAAAATGAAAATGAAGAAAAAAAAACACTTTTTAATGGTCCTAAGGACAAACAGCACATGAAGAAACATCTATTCATGGCCGGGCGCGGTGGCTCACACCTGTAGTCCCAGCACTTTGGGAGGCTAAGGCGGGCGGATGACTTGAGGTCAGGAGTTTGAGACCAGCCTGGCCAACATGGTGAAACCCCGTCTCTACTAAAAATACAAAAATTATGTGTGTGTGATGGCAGGTGCCTGTAATCCCAGCTACTCAGGAGGCTACGGCATAAGAATAGCTTGAACTTGGGAGGTGGAGGCTGTAGTGAGCTGAGATTGCACCACGGCACTCCAGCCTGGGCGACAGAGTGAGACTGTCTCAAAAAGAAAAAAAAAAGCATCTATTCAAGAAAATGTACTAAAATTTGGTAAGAAAAGAGTTTGTGGTATTTGAAGCAAGATCATTCCTTTCCTTTCCCTGCCAGCTCAGGAAGGTGGAGATTCCACTCTGGACAGCTAGAGCCAGTAACACAGGGTTCTGTCTCTGCTCCAGATCGCAGCTGGAGGACTTTCTTCCAGGAAGATCAAGATATTAGCATTTCTCATTCTGCCTCTCTCTACCTGTTAGTGAGGCCAAGTGTCAGGTTAATTGGGGGTCTCCCTTTCACACCCAGCTCTCACTCGAGGAATGGAGGCTCTATTTTGGTTGCAGCATGCTGAGCTTACTGGAGTACTTACCACTTTTGCCCTGGGTCCTGAGAGGGTTCAACACCAGGAGAGACAAGCTGAGAGGACCTTAGGCTAGGACCCCACCTCCACTGAGGACTCAGCTCCTAGAGCAGGTGTCATCTGAAGAGCAATTGACTATTGTTCACACATCCAATTCCAGAGCTCTGGCTTAGAGATTTTGCCTGGGGGATAATTAGGCCATACAACCCATGGTGCCTAACATCTCTTCCTAAAGGAACTGACTTCATTTGTAACAGATTGGGGAAGTTCAAGCCTAAGGATGCCCTCGAGAATGGTGGAGGTTGTGATGAAAGACAACTGAGAAAAGAGTCAAATACAAGTAAAAGTGTATGCCCTCTAATTTGTGGGGATGAACTGGAGAATAAGATAGCTGGAAGGTCAAAAAATATCAAACACTGGTTTTAGAAACGATTCCCTGCAAAGGAAGCAGAATTTGATCAGATTCACTTGTAAAGCAATTTATACCCCAGGACATTGTTGAAAACAATAATCAGCCAGCAAATAGTGAAGTTTAACAGCTGGGCATGGGCAAGGAAAGACAGGAAGGGGGCCCTACCAAAACCATTGTTCTCCCAGCGTGACTGGGGCAGACCCAAAACTGTGCTTCCCTAAGGAACAACGGTGGGGGCTGGGGGACATAATAGACTTTACTAAAATAATTCAGCCAGTCACTAAACAAACTGGCAAATGAAAGTAACAAGCCACAGAGGAGACGCAGAGCTAGGAGCTGCTACAATATATCTACAATGTCCAGTTTCTAAGAAAAAATTAGGAGGCACGCAAAGTAACAGGAAAGTATGATCCATACACTGAGGAAGAAACAGGTAACAAAAACAGAGTGAGCAGATGCAGGATTTATCAGAAAAATACTTTTAAAGTAGTCATTATGAATATATTCACAGAATGAAAGAAAACTATGATTAAAGAAAGGATTATAAAGGAATACTTTGAACAAATAAATACCAACAAATTAGATAACTTAGATGAAATAAATTCCTACAAAGGCAGAAATAACAGAAATTGACTCAAGAAAAAAATCTAAATAGACCTAGAACAAGGGAAGACATAGAAGTAGAAATGCTGGCCGGGCGCGGTGGCTCACGCCTGTAATCCCAGCACTGTGGGAGGCCGAGGCGGGTGGATCACGAGGTCAGGAGATCGAGACCATCCTGGCTAACATGGTAAAACCCCATCTCTACCAAAAATAGAAAAAATTAGCCAGGCGTGGTGGCAGGTGCCTTTAGTCCCAGTTACTTGGGAGGCTGAGGCAGGAGAATGGCCTGAACCCAGGAGGCAGAGCTTGCAGTGAGCCAAGATTGTGCCACTGCACTCCAGCCTGGGCGACAGAGTGAGACTCTGTCTCAGAAAAACAAAAACAAACAAAAAACTACATGCCGGGCACGGTGGCTCACACGTGTAATCCCAGCACTTTGGGAGGCTGAGGGAGGTGGATCATGAGGTCAGGAGTTCGAGACCAGCCTGACCAACATGGTGAAACTGTGTCTCCACTAAAAATACAAAAATTAGCCGGGCGTGGTGGTGGGTGCCTGTAATCCCAGCTACTCAAGAAGCTGAGGCATGAGAATTGCTTGAACCCAGGAGGTGGAGGTTGCAGTGAGCTGACGCTGCGCCACTGCACTCCAGCCTGGGTGACAGAGTGAGACTGCGTCTCAAAAAGAAAAAACACAATTACAAACCATTATCTCTTATGATTATGCGTGCAAAAATCCTCAACAAAATACTATGAAACTAAATCCAGCAATGTATAAAAAGAATTGCATACCACGACCAAATGGAATTTATCCTAGGGCTTCAAAGTTGGTTCAACAACGGAAATTATTGTATTAATCGTATTTTAAAATTTTCTGTATATATGAAAAAATATATACATATGTATAGAAGCTTTGAGACATTTGCTTCCCCACATTACCAATCATGATTATGTCATAATTATGAGTAGCTGTCTTTTTTTTTTTTTTTTTTTTTTGAGACTGAGTCTCGCTCTGTCACCCAGACTGGAGTGCAGTGGCATGACCTCGGCTCACTGCAAGCTCCGCCTCCCGGGTTCACGCCATTCTCCTGTCTCAGCCTCCCAAGTGGCTGGGACTACAGGCACTCACCACCATGCCCAGCTAATTTTTTTGTATTTTTGGTAGAGACGAGGTTTCATCTTGTTAGCCAGGATGGTCTCGATCTCCTGACCTTGTGATCCGCCCATCTCGGCCTCCCAAAGTGCTGGGATTACAGGCGTGAGCCACCGCGCCCGGCCGAGTAGCTAAGTCTTATATCTCCTCAGGAAAACATAGCACTATTCACTATGGCATCCTGTGGAGATCTATACTTTATGATGGTTTGACGTCCTGCAGCTCACCAAGGCTATCAGATTCTTAGAGATAGCAAACAACTTGCCTTTCATGTGCAAACCAATCAATCAAAGCCCATATCCCCACTACCCCCTCTGTGTAACTCCTGTACACCAATCAAAGCCCATATTCCCAACTACCTCCTCTATCTAAGTCCTATACAGCAGTCAAAGCCCATATCCCCAACTACTTCCTTTATCTAACTCCTATACACCAATCAAAGCCCGTATCCCCAACTACCTCCTCTATCTAACTCCTATACACCAAGCCAGTACTTCCCCTGCTCTAAATCACCCCCAAGGCCAGGTACGAAACAACTAAAGACCACTCTTAAAGGTCAGAGTCCATCAAAATTATTCATACTATCCAATCCTAAACTTGTCAAACTTGTCTCCTCTGCCTTGCCCATTCCTTCCTGCAGAAACTACGGCAAAAGCTCTAAGTCCTGCTCTCTCCTTTGTTTTGCCTGTTCTTGGTACTTCCCCATGTGGCTCTGCATGGTGTGGCACGCCCCCCTTTAACTGTAAGGCAGTTACATAATTTTGTGGGTACCCACAAAAATAAAAAATTATAAGGCCGGGTGCAGTGGCTCACGCCTGTAATCCCAGCACTTTGGGAGGCCAAGGTGGGTGGACCACCTGAGGTCAGGGGTTCGAGACCAGCCTGGCCAACATGGTGAAACCCTGTCTCTATTAAAAATACAAACAAAAAAATTAGCCGGGCATGGTGGAGGGCACCTGTAATCCCAGCTACTTGGGAGGCTGAAGCAGGAGAATCGCTTGAACCTGGGAGGTGGAGGGTGCAGTGAGCTGAGATTGTGCCACAGCACTCTAGCCTGGGCAACAAGAGTGAAAAACTGTCTCAAAAATAAATAAATAAATAATGATAAAATAGGAATACATTTAATGAAAGAAGTACAAACCATACTCTGAAATCGATATGACTTTTTTTTTTTTTTTTTGTGAGACAGTCTCACCCTGTCGCCCAGGCTGGGAGTGTAGTGGCGCGATCTCGGCTCACTGCAAGCTCCGCCTCCCGGGTTCACACCATTCTCCTGCCTCAGCCTCCTGAGCAGCTGGGACTACAGGCGCCCGCCACCACGCCCGGCTAATTTTTTGTATTTTTAGTAGAGACGGAGTTTCACCGTGTTAGCCAGGATGGTCTCGATCTCCTGACCTCGTGATCCGCCCGCCTCAGCCTCCGAAAGTGCTGGGATTACAGGCGTGAGCCACTGCACCGGGCCCGCTATATGACTTTGTTGAAAGAAACTAAGAAACCAGAGACTGAAAAAACATCCTATGTTCGTGGATCAGAAGACTTAAGGTCATTTGGAAGGCAGTATTCACCAAACTAACATACAGATCCAGTGCAATCCCTAGGAGAACCCACCTGACTTCTTTGTAGAAAATGCTGAGCTAATTTTTTTTTTTTTTTTTTTTTTTTTTTTTTCTGGAGACGGAGTCTCACTCTGTCACCCAGGCTGGAGTGCAGTGGCACAGTCTCAGCTCACTGCAACCTCTGCCTCCCGGGTTCAGGCAATTCTCCTGCCCCAGCCTCCTGAATAGCTGGGATTACAGGCGCCCACCACCATGCCTGGCTAATTTTTGTATTTTTCTTAGAGACAGGGTTTCACCATGTTGATCAGGCTGGTCTCGAACTCCTGACCTCAGGTGATCCACCCGTCTTAGCCTCCCAAAATGTTGGGATTACAGGCGTGAGCCACCATGCCTGGCCATGATGAGCTGCTTCTAAAATTCATATGGATTGCAAAGGACCCATAGTAGCTAAAACAATCTTGAAAATGAAGAAAAAAGTAGAATTCACACTTCCTGATTTCACAACTTAATACAAACCAACAGTAATGAAGGCAGTGTGGTATTGACAAGGACAGACATACAAATTAATAGAATTGAGTCCAAAAATAAACCCTGACATCTATGGTCAGCTGATTTTTCAACAAGGCTGCTAGAACCATCCAATGGGGAAAAGAAGAGCCTTTTTAAGAAATGATACTGGGAGAATGGGATAGCTATGTGAGAAAGAATGAAATTGGCTGGATGCAGTGGCTCACGCCTGTAATCTCAACTCTTTGGGAGCCTGAGGTAGGGGGATAGCTTGAGGCCAGGAGTTTGAGACCAGCCTGGCAACATAGTGAGACCCTATCTCGATTAAAAAAAGAAAAAAAAGTTGGGCATAGTGGCACATACCTATAGCCCTGGCTATTTTGGAGGCTGAAGTACGGGGAGTACCTGAGCCCAGGAGTTTGAGGTTACAGCGAGCTTTGATCACACCACTGCCCCCCAGCCTGGGTGACACAGTGAGGCTCTGTCTCTTAAAAAAAAAAAAAATGAACTCTTACTATATACAAAATTATCTTGAATTAAAAGCCTAAACGTAAGAGCTAAAACTATAAAAGCCTTAGGAGAACAGGAGTAAATCTGCATGGCCTTGGATTGGACAAGGGATTCTTAGATATGACATCTAAAGCAAAGCAAGAAAATTGCCAACATTTAAAATGTTTCTGCTTCAAAGAACACTGAGAATGTGAAAAATACAGTCCACAGAATGGGAGGAAAATTTGCAAATCATGTATCTGATAAGGATTCATATTCATAATCTATAAAGATCAGCTCAATAATAAAGATGACCCAGTTTAAAAAATGAGCAAAGAATCTGAATTGATACTTCTCCAGGAAGATACACAAATACCCCTAAAAAGATGCTTGATATCATTAGTCACTAGAGAAATGTAAATCACAGCCACGACAGGCCACTTCACATCAGCTAGGATGACTGTAATTGGAAAGTCAGATAACAATTGTTGGCAAGGAGGTGAACAACGTGGAGCCCTCATGTACCGCTGTTGGGAATATACGTTGGCACAGCTGCTTTGGAGGACAATCTGGGAATATCTCAAATGATGAAACATAGTTACCATATGGCTCAGCAATTCAATGCTGAGGTATATAACCAAGAGAAATGAAAACATGCCCACACAAAAACTTAGCAGTCATTAATAATAGGCAAAATGCAGAACCAACTGAAGTGTCCTTCCACTGATGAACAAAACTTTGTGTATCCACAAAATAGAATACTGAATATTCACCAGCCATAGAGAATGACGTTTTAATATATGCTGCAACATGGGTGGACCTTGAAAACACGCTGTGTGAAAGAAGCCAGTCACAAAAGACTATATATGATTCCACTCACAGGAAACTTTTGCCCAGGAAGGGAAATCTGCAGAGCACATTAGTGGTTGCTTAGGGATGGGAAGTAGGGTAA
Organism: Homo sapiens; assembly: GCF_000001405.40. Lineage (NCBI taxonomy): Eukaryota > Metazoa > Chordata > Mammalia > Primates > Hominidae > Homo > Homo sapiens. The sequence goes on from NC_000001.11 coordinate 246,836,816, forward strand.
CTAAAAGGTGCAGAAATTCTTAGGTGATGAAATGTTCTGAAATTGACTGTGGTGATTGTTGCACATATTTAAAACCATTGAATTGTATACTTTGAATTGTATTACCTCAAAGTTGTTTAAAAGAGATTATGGTGAAAAAGCAGCTAAAATAGTTGTCAGGCACTGTGCTCTGCAATAGACATATTTCCTCTGTTACAATAGCAATCTTGTGAAGTGTCAAGAGCCCATTTTACAGATAAACTGAGGCCCAGAGAATACACAGTCTGAGAATATATTGCTTTATTTTTATTTTTGAGACAGAGTCTCACTCTGTCGCCCAGGCTTGGTTCACTGCAGCCTCTGCCTCCTGGATTAAAGCAATTCTCGTGTCTCAGCCTCCCAAGTAGCTGGGACTACAAGCGTGCGTGACCATACCTGGCTAATTTTTGTATTTTTAGTAGAGATGGGGTTTCACCATGTTGGCCAGGCTGGTCTTGAACTCAGCCTCCCAAAGTGCTGGGATTACAGGTGTGAGCCACTGTACCCAGCAATATATTGCTTCTTATCATGAAAGTGCCATAAAGTAGGTTCTCTGATCCCACAATGAACATAAGCACTAGATATGGAGTTAGAAAATTAGGCAGTGTCCAGATCACCTAGGCCCTGTAAACTGCAAAACTTTATTTTTAATAAACTGAAAGGTTTTGAGCAGAGAGCTCCATGATACTAGTATTTTTCTCTTGCTGCTAGGTAAAGAATGGATTGGGGGTGGCGAGTTCATGTAGGAGGTACTGCAGTTGTCTAGGCAGGATGATCTGTAACTGTCTACAGTGGTCCCCCCTTGTCTGCAGTTTCACTTTCTGTGGTTTGTTACCAGCAGTCAACCAGAATATGAAAATACAAAATGGAAAATTCCAGAAATAAACAACTTGTGTTTTAAATTGTGCCACCAGTCTGAGAAGCGTGTGAAAATCTCACGCCATCCCACTGTCCTGCCTGGACGTGAATCATCCTTATCTAGCATATCCATGTAGAGCCGCTTAGGAACCATCTTGGTTACCAGATGAGCATGGTGGCACTGCACTGCTTGTGCCCTTATGTGACTTAATCATGCCCCGAAGTACGAGAGTCTGTGACTCATTTATACAGTATCATAGGTATGTACGTACAAGAAAACATGTAGTGTATATACAGGGTTAGGTTCTACCTGTGGTTTCAGGAATTCACTGGGGGCCTTAGAACATAGCCCCTGTGGGTACAGAGCAAGCACTCACTGTACCTTCAAGCTATCTCCCGAATCCATCCTTCTTACTCCTTGCTTAGACTATTCTAGTCTGGCAACTTTGGTGGTGAACTTGAATAAAATGCAATCTTTTTGTAAAGGGAACCTAAAGGTTCTGTAAATACATGACTGTTTTAGTGCCTAACCCTACAAATCCTTATTTGCAGTTACTCATCCTGGCAATATCAGAGGCCAGTGAAAACGACCGCAGGAATAACCATTTGCATTGTTGTTGAAGGTCTGGTTGGGCCAAAGTAGTTAATATACTGGTCACAAATTCATTCTTTGGCATTTTTTGATCAGTTGCCTTAGAAGCCATGCTACTTTAGAAGCCTTAAATAGCAGCTACACTTAAAGTTACCTACTTATACATGCAACTGGAGTTACATAATTACATAGCTGTGCCCAGCTGTTGAAATACTTTCCACAATATAGATGAATACAGAGGCACAGGACAGACAGAACTGATACCAACTGAAGATGTACAAAGTAATATTGATAATGGTAAAAGCAGCAAGTTGTAGAAGTGGGCGGGGCGGGGCGGGGGGAAGACCTCATATAAGGTCAATCCATTGTAGCCCATTCAGGACCAGGTCTTTGCATGTTGTTCTGTCAAGCAAGTCTTGATCGACCTTTGACAAAGCCTTTATAGTCCTCTCAAATGCTTCTATCTACATCTAGGAAGCCTTCAAGATCTATCCAGGCAGAATTAACTATACTTGATCTGAGTATATTGTTTCCCTTACTACTATGATACTAAGTATCTGAGTATTGTTTCCCTTACTACGATACTAAGTATCTTTCTGAGTACATTGTTTACCTTACTACTGATACTAAGTATCTTTCTGAGTATATCATTTACCTTACTATGATACTAAGTATCTCTCTGAGTACATTGTTTACCTTACTACTATGATACTAAGCACCTTAGTTTAACCAATGCTTTGATCATCAGATACATGGTTGCTACAAGGTCCGAGAATATCATTCATGCGCTATCCTAAAATGTTGTAGCAACACATTTTAATGAGCAGTGTTTTTATTCAAGCTATATAAAGACATTTATACGTAAGTACATACATTCATTTAAAATATATGTAAAGTTCATTTAGAACAGGCAATTTGTTTGCTTATGATCTACATTCACGGAGGGGGGAAAAAAAGTACACTTATTAAAAACAGGTACCACACATCTATATTCACCAAATTGCGTTGGTTTAAAAAAGTATTAACTTGACATACGTTGCATCCATGTTTATTGTGCTACTTGCGCAAAGGAATTGTTTACTGAATTATGTTTAGCTCTTTATTCATTTAACAAGTTCATTTAAATAAGTTCAATATTCCATAAATGACAAGCAGCTTAAATACAAGTTTGATAACTATCATTAAAAAAGTAATAAAATCAAAGTCAGTGAAATTTTCAACAAGGCAGCGTAACATCCATCACTAACCTGACTAAAAGGCCGCACTCGCACTGCTTTCACACTGTCAACACTTTGCGTAGGCATTTTCACCAATTTCTCATTATCTGTATTATTTGGTAGAAAAATAAATGCAGAAAGCACACTGCATATGCTTCACATTAAAATATTAAAAGCCCACGAAAGCAGTTCGTTTCTAGATAATCAATTATTAATAGTCCATTCATTACACACTATCGATTACCTGTTATAAATTATTTTACAACACTTATTTATTGATGAGTGTTAGAGCCTACATCAAGTACCATTGCTTAATTGCACACAGTTGTACTGTAGAGAACAGGGCGTGTGTTGTTTTTCTCCTTTTCTACATCTACTCACTCTCTCCCAACCTCAATAATCTGTGCCTGAGGTCCTGTGAGAATTTGCCAGTTTTAAAACCTGAATATTAAGGGATTTCTGTGGTTCAATAGCAAGCTCCTTCACAGCAATATTATAAAAATTTGTTCAGACATCTCATCCTATCAATATTAGGCACATACAAGATGCACTCAATATCCATAAACAGATTTATTTTACATTTCCCTTTGTCAAACCCTTTGATAAGGTTGCAAGTGAGCAGTGAACCGGTCAATCTAACCTGGATTAGTCTTTGACTAATTAAGACTTTAAAGAGCCTTTAAGCTTGCCGAATAAGAGATGCCAACATTATAGTTAACCAATACTTGGATTATTCATTTGAGGTAGATTACACAAAATTTGTGAAACTACAAAGATGGCAAAATGACATGCCCATAATTCAATTTTAACATAGTAACAGCCAAAAACAAAAAAATACATTTTCTGATTAGAAATCTGAATCACAGAATCAAAGTGCATAAATTATAAAATAGTAACTGTAAAAAGAAATATCAATACTTCAATCATCCCCATTTTAAGACTGGTCTAGTATTTTAATTATAGAGAAAATGAGACCAATGAGCATATAAAACTATTTAAACAGATATCCCCTCCCTTTCAAAAATCCAAGACACAAACGACTGTGAAGTATACATTTTATTTAACATTCCATTAATAAGCCATATTTACATATATAAATGTATGAAGTCTTAATATAAAATAGAAAAATTGCCTGGACTGAAACAATCACTCCATATGGAGTTACTTTACTTATTGAAGACCTTCTGTTTACATAAAAATTTACAATAATTTATATAAATTATTTTCTTCCAAACTAGATATTTAATAATCCACACTATTCTGATGACTTTACAAATAGGTGTACATTAAAATCTTCCCAAGAAATTACAGCATTTTTCTGCGTAAAATTTGCTTTGGATAGGAAGACAGTTTCTTTCTGTTCCTTCCAAGACCTGTTCCTGTCACTTCTGTAGTTTTTCTTGGTTTGCTCTTGACTCCGTCAGCTGGGCTAGCCAAGGGGGAAATCAGCCGAATTTCTATGGGAGGAGGTGACCAAGCACTTTCTTTTTCTGTGTTTCTGAAAAAAAAAGATATGATCAAGTAAGAATAAACACATTATGCTATAAAATAAAATTGGCTTCCCAACATGTTGAGAAAAACCTTAGGGACTGCTTAGTGCTTTCATTTTATAAAAGATGTAATGGTTTCAAGGGAACTGAAGTGAAGCTTTAAGTCATATAAGCTAATCAGAAGCAGAGTTCAGGTTTCATTAAGGGGAATTTTTTCATTTTCGATCAGAATATTTACAAACAATTATTCAATTACTGAATTTTCCTCTAAATGTTTCAAATGTATGAAAAAATACTGCTGGATTACAAGGACGGGCCGAGTACCAGTTGTCAGCCCAGGGGATGACAGCCCCGCAGGCCCATGTGGCATGTCAGAAATGTCAATGATCAAACACAGCAATTAGCAAAGATGCACAGAATTTCACAAACTTGAGTTTCTCACATAGATACGCCAGTTTATATGTAAACAGTGGTATTAGCCATAGTGTCTTAAATAAAATGCATTCACGTGTGCTTTTATTGAATTCAACCATGCCTACTAAGCACAGCATAAACAAGATACTGTGTAACAAATACATCTGAAATGGAGTGATCTTCCCATGCATGCAGTTTTAGTGCTTTCTGTAAAATAATTGCAGGATTTTAAAGTGTATAATTGTTTTTTACTAATAGTTACCTAACTTTCCTGACAAAGAGGTAAACCATCCCACTTCCCTTTCCTACTTTTTCTGCAAAAACCAGAAATATCCATTGGGAACTAAACTGCCCCCACCCTACCATCCTCCTTTTATTATTTTATTTTTATTTATCTATTTTTTTGAGACAGAGTCTCAGTCTGTCACCCAGGCTGGAGTGCAGTGGCGTGATCTTGGCTCACTGCAACCTCCGCCTCCTGGGTTCAAGTGATTCTGCCTCAGCCTCCAGAGTAGCTGGGACTACAGGCACCCACCACCACGCCCAGCTAATTTTTTTTTTTTTTTTTTTCAGTAGAGACAGGGTTTCACCATCTTGGCCAGGCTGGTCTTGAACTCCTGACTCGTGATCCACCCACCTCGGCCTCCCAAAGTGCTCGGATTACAGGCGTGAGCCACCACGCCCGACCTCCCATGTTCCTTTTAAAAGGACTGGGCTTTCATGCTATTAATATATAAAGAAATCCACCTTCAGCAGTGAAATCTAACAATGCCAGGGAGCCAGTGCTTGTAAATGCCCGATAATCTTTTCTGATGAGCTTAATTTCCTTTTCGTAAAATTAAGGGTCTTCTCAAATCTAATTTTGAGAAAAAAATGGATAAAAATTACAGAACAAGGCTGGGTGCAGTGGCTCACACCTGTCATCCAAGCACTATGGGAGGCCAAGGCAGGCGGATCACTTGAGACCAGGAGTTTGAGACCAGCCTGGCCAACATGATAAAATGCCGTCTCTACTAAAAATACAAAAATTAGCCAGGTGTGGTGGTGGGCACCTGTAGTCCCAGCTACTTGGGAGGCTGAGGCATGAGAATCACCTGAACCTGGGAGGCAGAGGTTGCAGTGAGCCGAAATCACACCACTGCACTCCAGCCTTGGTGACAGACCGAGACTCTGTCTCAAAAAAAATAAATAAAAATAAAATAAAATAATAAAAGGAGGATAGTAGGGTGGGGACAGAGCGAGACTGTCTCAATCAATCAATCAATCAAGAACAGAACAGAAAGTCATACTTGCTTGCTTGTTTTGTTTTTGACGTCCTGATTCGTTTCGCTTTTGGCTTTCCCAGAGTTTCTACTGATTGTGCATCATCTTTCTATGGGTTAAACATTTTAAAAGGTTAAGTATTAAACACGAATCCAATTTTAAAACTTCTATCCTGAGACAAGGAATACTAGAGCCAAACACTGATGAATTCAAACTCGCCAAATGCAAAATTGACTCCTTTTCTCATACCTTTTAGTAGAAACCTTAGTTATGCAGGCCTGTTCTTTATTCCTCATTCCTACAATTCAACTAATCTCCAAGTTATCATCAGTTTTATTTTTGAATGTTTCCACTGTCTACTGCCCTTCTGTACCCACTCCCTTTGTCCAGATCCAGGCTCTCACTTTCTAAGAAGTAGACAACCAGAGACTATTGTTTCCTACCCACATTTCATCTTTCATAGAGACTACCTGTAATACACACATGGCTATTCACAATGAACACTCCTCATCTGCCTGCCATTGCCATGCTCTGAGCCTTTGCGTCTGCCATTTACTCTGTTGGGAGGAATGCCTGTCTCCTCTAACCTCGGTCTATAAAGTATTTGAAGTAATTGTTTTCATCTCTTCAATGAAACTGTGTATCTCAGTTGAACTGTAGGTGCCTGACAGACAAGGAATTTGCCTGAATTATTCTTGTGTAATTTGCCCTTGCAGAGTAGCAGACTCATGGCAGATAATTCAATAAATGCTTATGAATTAACATTTATAAACTTAAGGGACTCGCACTCAATCCCTCAACTATTTCTTTAAAAAACACCCAGGTAATTCTGATGGACACTAGAATTTAAAAACCCTTCCACAAACAGGTAATTTAAACTGTAACTGCTGGTAAAATATGATCAGTAGCATACCACAGATGTGTCTTAAAGGTAGGAGGCCTCCAAAGGGGTGGATACGACCATTTTTGGCTTTTGGTATGCATGACTGTTATCTTTAAGACATTTATTTAAATAATAAACAAAATTTAAAATCATTAAAATTTAAATAAAATAATTTTATTAAAACATTTGTAAAAAAAAAAAGTATGTTTTAACAAACATACAAATAAAATCATGCATTTCTTACCAGTTCATCTTCAAGCTTGTTCTTATTGGATGTGTTTTTTTGTCTGCTCCTTAAAGCAGGAGGTGAGATGACAAACTGAGAAGATAAATCCGAAACTAATTCTTTCAGCTGTGCAGGAACCTCTATTTTTTTAGCTAAAAAAAGTTGAAAAAACTGTATCTGTATCTTTATATATGTGTGTATATATATAAACACAATAAAAACCTGGAACAAATTATGTGTTTTAGAAAGATGCAAACGTCCCCAAACCTGGAAACCATTAGTATTGCAACCTAAGTATCCATGTTGGCAGAGAAACGACAGAAAAATCCCAGCATCATTTGGGTAAGCCAAATGTGTAGGACGATTGAATGCTTCAAACTAAAAAGTGCTACAATATAAAGACAGGCCATGAAAGCAGGTACAGAACTGTTTAGTCTATTTCTTTTAATCCGTACTGCTCCTCAAGCATTCTGGGGAGGGAAAGCATTAATCCTATATGTAACCTGAGCTAGTCTGTGCCATAACTACTGCTATTGCAGAGACGTTATTTACAAAGTAGGTTTTTTATTTTCAAAAAAGAGAAAATCTTTCTAGCCACCTCATTTTGAACTACTTGTTCCAGCCAAAGGAACAGAAAAGTTCATCTCCACAAAAGGAGAAAGTGCCAGGTGCAGTGGCTCACAATTGTAATTCCAGCACTTTGGGAGGCTGAGGTAGGAGGACGGCTTAAGGCCAGGAGTTCAAGACTAGCCTGATCAACAAAGTGAGAGCCCTGTCTCTACAAAAAATTTTTAAAAGATTAGCCAATGTGGTGGTGCACGCCTGTGGTGTCAGCTACGTGGGAGGCTGAGGCAGGAGGATCACCTGAGCCTGGGAAGCTGAGGCTACAGTGAGCCATGATTGTGCCACTGCACTCCAGCCTGGGTAACAGAGTGAAAAGCTAACAGGAAGATATTCCATAGAAAAATAAAAATGGTTTAAACAACAATTGGTTTAAAATAAGGAATTAAAAGCATTTACCACACAGACTTTTTTTTTTTTTTTTAACTATAGGGCCCCCATATTAAAAGCAATTATCAATATAATTACAGACGAGCACAGTTCAGTTTAACCAGTCTGCCGGAGTAAATCCCAGCTTCTGGACTTACTGTGAGACCAGAATCAAGTAACTTAAACCTGTCTGTGCATCAGTTTCTATAAAATAGGGTTAATAGTAGCATCTATCTCAAAGTTGTTCTGAGGATGAAAGAAGCAGAACAATGTGTGGCAGGGTAGGTGGTAAGTGCTCTACAGATGTTTGCATTTGTTATTTCAAGAATATCATTTACAAACCCTTGAAATAAAATCACAGTTCATGTTACTTCAGCTACTGGGATAGTCAAGAGTTCTATCAAATTCTGCTTTTCGAGCATGATTCTTTAAAAAAATGTTTTTTGTGGGTACACAGTAGGTGTATATATAAAAATGTTTTTTGTGGGTACACAGTAGGTGTATATATAAAAATGTTTTCTGTGGGTACACAGTAGGTGTATATATAAAAATGTTTTTTGTGGGTACACAGTAGGTGTATATATAAGCATATGATTCTTAAAAAAAAGAAAAATAGAGTTGATATCAGATATCAGAAATATATAATCTCTGCTCCCAGCTTGTAAATGGCAGAAATGGCAATGGCTAGGTCTACTGGTGGTCTCTCTCTTGGCTTCAAGAAACAGATGAACAAAAGTATTTCTACGAAAATTATACATTCTATAACTCTCTTCTAGGCTACCTGAAAAAACGATTTATTTCACTTTTCGTAATCTTCACCTAAGCTTTCCTACTCCATTTCAAATATATAAGGAAATACAAAAATATACTATCACATGCAAAAATAGCCTCCACCATTTTTTCCATGTGCTTCTATTATAGCACAGATGAGACTTTCTTGAGTGTATGTCAATTCTTTACCCATCTCTTGTTTTGAGGATTAAGGAGTTCAAAAGGCCTAGGTTCAAACCCAACTGTGTCCTAGCAAATGACTCTGGAAATTCAAAGAGAGCTCTGATTTGCAGCATTTGCTGATTTCTAAGGTATAAATGTGCCTCCTGTGGCCAATGCAAACCATGGCTGGGTTACAAGTTCTTGGATATTTAACAATTGGCTCTTACCAGCCAGTAGTAGCAGTAGTAGCTCTAGAACAACACATCTTACTTATTCCCTGGGTGATGTGAGTGCACAGTCTCAATGAACTTCAGTTTCCTCAATGAGGACAGAAGGAAGTAAAAGTACCTACACTTTACTGGGTTGAAGTGGGAATCAAACGATATATGAATGTCATGTATCTAGTATGGCCTTAGGTATATAGCAGGCCCTTCTTAATATCTGCTGTATGAAATGTGAAGTTTCATATTCATTTAGTAAAACACAAAATTCTAAGATAATTTCTTCGCTATGTTTCAATAAAATAAAGGACCACCTCTAGCCTTCCAATCATATAGTATACCTATACCCAGTCTTCTCGGCACCTGCATCCCTATGTAAAAACGAAGTTTAGAATATAAATAGGCACAAGGGACAGAAAGTATGGTAACAGTATAAAGGGCAGAGGAAGACAGGAAGCTATGTCCTAGAGTGGTCATTGCTTTGTTAAAGGAGTGAATACTCATAAGAACCCCTGTAAGGTATGCACTACCACATTCATTCTAGGAGGAGGAAACAAGGCTCATAAAGGTTAAATGATTTTCTGCCCAGCTAGTAAGTGGCAGAAATGAGAGATCTCAATCCCAAGTTTCTTATCCCTTCCAATCCCATCATCTCATTCTAGCAGGTGCCTATTTTTAATATTAAAAAATCTGAAAGCAATTCAAATACCCAACAGAAGAGGGTTTAAACAATCTGTGGCACATTTGTGAGATGAAATGCCAATATGAAAAAAAAAGAAATATTACGTTTAAGATTTTGAAATATATATACATATACATATATATATTTTTTGGGGGGATGGGGGTGGGGAGGTGACAGGATCTCAATCTGTCACCTGGGCTGGAGCACAGTGGTGTGATGGCTCACTGCAACCTCAACCTCCCGGGCTCAAGCCATCCTCACACCTCAGCCTCCCAAGTAGCTGGGACTACAGGTGCAGCCACCACATGCCCAAATCATTAAAAATTTTTCTTTTGTAGAGATGGGGTCCCACTAAGTTGCCCAGGCTGGTTGGATTTTGAAGAATATTTAAGATTAACTGAAGGCTGGGCACAGTGGCTCATGCCTATAATCCCAGCACTTTGGGAGGCCAAGGCGGGTGGATTATCTGAGGTCAGGCGTTTGAGACTAGCTTGGCCAACATGGCGAAACCCTGTCTCTACTAAAAATACAAAAAAATGACCCAGGCGTGGTGGCAAGCACCTGTAATCCCAGCTACTGGGGAGGCTGAGGCAGGAGAATTGTTTGAACTCAGGAGGCGGAGGTTGCAGTGAGCCAAGATCACACCATTGCACTCCAGCCTGGGTAACAACAGCCAAACTCCATCTCAAAAAAAAAAAACAAACAAAAAAAAAACTGAAAATGCTCATGACATAAGTAGGGGGACAAAAGCAGAATATATGCACGTACATAAACTGCAGGTTTTTAAATACCAACCATACATATGTATCTGGAACGATATACAGGAAAACGTGAATGGTGATTCTTTCGATGGCTGGATTATATACTTCTATTTTAGAGTTTTCAGTAAGTAGGCATGTATTGTTTTTGTTTTGAGACGTGGTCTTGCTCTGTTGCCCAGGCTGGAGTGCAGGGGCACACGATCATGGCTCACTGCAGCCTCAAACTCTCAGGCTCAAGTGATCCTCCTGCCTCAGCCTCCCAAGTAGCTGGGACCACAAGCCTATGCCACCAGGTCTGGCTAATTTTTGTACTTTTTGTAGAGATGGGGTTTTTTTGGCCATGTTGTTGCAGGTATTTTTAGTTTAACAGAAAAAAGTTAAAATTAGTAGGTACAGAAATGAAAAATAGGTAAAGATGACAAAAATCAGAATTACTGAGATGTTTGCTAAGCTCTAACAAAATAACTCTCACTTTTGGTGGTTACTATATTCCTCCAGGTCCTGAGGAGTGTATAAGTTATGTGAATGACTTCCTGCCACTCCCTGCCAATAAAATGTTTTTCATTTTAACTTTTTAATAAAACCTTAATAAAATGAACTTAAAAAAAGTTGGCTAAAATATCACACATTCTGTCATTTCATTCTCCTCCATGCAAAACATAGGTCTAACCACACTTTTCTAACACTGTGAAGAAATTAAGTTATACTACCAAAATCGAAGATCCAATTAAAAATTTTCTGAGTGACGAGGGGAGAGGAGGATCCCCTATAGCTACAAATCATTTTTAGGACAAATGATCAATTGTTATGGGGAGAGTCATTCTCCTGGGCTCAAACTGTATCAGTACAACAAGTCATCTACTTTATTTATTATTATTATTATTTGGCCCCCCGGGCTGGAATACAGTGGCACAATCTTGGATCACTGCAAGCTCTGCCTCCCAGGTTCACACCATTCTCCTGCCTCAGTCTCCCGAGTAGCTGGGACTACAGGCGCCCGCCACCACGCCCGGATAATTTCTTTGTATTTTTTTTAGTAGTGTTAGCCAGGATGGTCTCGATCTCCTGATCTCGTGATCCACCCGCCTTGGCCTCCCAAAGTGCTGGGATTACAGGCGTGAGCCACCGTGACCGGCCAAGTCATCTACTTTATTTATAAGGTCCTGAACTGCTTTGCTGAAATTCAAATATTAAACTGTAACTTAAATAGTCAACTACATGGCTGGGTGTGGTGGCTCACGCCTGTAATCCCAACACTTTGGGAGGCTGGGGCGGGTGGATCACTTGAGGTCAGGAGTTCAAGATCAGCCTGGCCAACATGGCGAAATGCTGTCTCTACAAATACAAAAAATTAGCCAGGCCTGTAATCCCAGCTACTAGGGAGGCTGAGGTAGGAGAATCCCTTGAACCCAGGGGGCACATGTTGCAGTGAGCCGAGATCATGCCATTGTGCTCCAGCCTGGGCGACAGAGTGAGACTCTACCTCAAACAAACAACACAAACCCCCTACATTTTGTTTACCTAACCATTAACACTTTTACAGAGAGTTACTCTGATGGGATCTATTCAGCCACACCAGTGTCTTAACTTTTTAGACATGTTTAAAGCACCCCCTATTAAAATTTTATTACTGCAGATATATTGTATATCTGTTTGTATTCTTAATGCATATATGTGCTCCCTTTGGGGAGAGATCACCCCTGTTGAGAAGCTCTGACCTACACCAACCAAATACAGTCCTTAGCTCGTGACAATGAAGGATGGCCTCACTGAAGATGAGGGCATGTAGATGCGCCAGTTTGTGGGCAATAGTGAATATGGATTGAAATAATTTCTGTATCTTAGTAAAAAGCTACTGGTGTTTCCCTTCAAAACAATTTCGGGTTGTGGATATCACTGGGGTGTGAGCCAAATGCAGCAGTACATGGGAGATTAAAAATATTGACTATTTTGGAAGAAACTTAATTAAAAGTCACTTATAATTTATAAAACTCACAGAAGAGAAATTACACTATTCTAAAAAATAAATCTGTTACGTGAGTTACAGGATTTAAGTCATGTTAACCATACTGAATAACTGAACTCAAACTTTGAAACATGAAACCTTTAAACTTTACTACTAAAAGATCAATTTTGGTTTGAGGGGGGAAGGGGAAAAATTCCCTATAAAACCATTTTTAGGACAAATAACCAAATTTTAAGCTGAAGAGTGACTGAGATGAAAAACTGTTTTGCAGAGAAAGAAAAGTACCTTTTGCTTTCCTTGGAACTTCTGACGCTGGAGAAAATAAAGGCTCATTGTTTGGTTCAGAAAGGTCCGGCAACAAGATGGCCTTGCTAGACCGAGTCCTGCTGCTGCGGGATGATTTAGTGAAGGAAGCTGTGGCGAGCAATCTTTCTTCCTGCTCATTTGTTTCTTTATGTGTCATTTCATCTGTGCGTTCTTCTGATACTGAGTGCAATGAACGTTTTTGGCTTTGACTTTCAGTCTTTTTTGTAAGTTTTTTCTTAGAGCTCATCACCATCGAAAGTTCCTCGTTTGGCACTAAAATGGATTTTCCTAAAGCTGGTTTTCCAACATCAACATTTTCACTTTTAGCTGGGGTATTTCTTGTAGATCTCCTTCTAATGCTGGGAGCTTCTTTCTTCTTGGGGCTTCTCTCTTCCTTAACAGCCTTAGATCCTACATCTTCAGATGGATTGATTTTTCTTGGTCTACCACGTTTTCTAGGTATGGCAGACATATCAAATTCTGCTTGAACAGTCAACTGAGATGACTCAAGGTTGGAGTCTTCTCTCACATCTGATGGACTAACTTCTCTCCCTCTGACCCTTCTAACATGTTTAATACGCAGCTGCTTGTCACTGGATTTATCATCTTGCTTATTTCCTGTATTTTCAGAAGCATCTAAATTAGTACTTCTCAATTTTCTGATCATTCTGCTAGGACTTGTTACCGTACTAACTTTTAGATCATTTATAATTTCAACACTTTCCTGATTTTCTACAGATCTTTTAATTCTTCTAGGAGTCCTTTTTGTAACAGATGAAACCTTAACTTCTTTTTTAGTAGTTTCTTCAACTGCTGGTTCCAACAGCTGAGATGATTTTAATCTTTTTGATTCCCTACCTGTAGTGATCTGTAATTCTTGTTCCACAGAACTGGTGTTTTCTAGTATGTCCTGATTAACTTCTTTCTTTCTCCTTCCTCTCCTAGGCGTAACAGAATTTTGAGGTATTTGCTGGTTCTGAGATAGTCCTCTGACATCAGAATAGATGTTTTCAGAAGCTTCAGAAATTTCTTTTGCCTTCCTAGTTTTCTTCCTGACTGACTGCCCTGGCATCTTAGGAGTAGCAACATCTGCTGATGCTTCCTGTTGTGCTGATTTGACATTCACGTTTTGGATACGTTGACCTCTCGTACGAGTTTTGGAGGAAACCACGTCATCAACCTGGCTGACATTCATAGTCATTGTGCTTGTTTCCTGAGCAGTCTTAAATGCAGATTTGACCAATTTAGTGGGACACATTATGTTTTGGCTCACTAAAGGTATTGTTTCATGAATGGACTGTTCCATTGTATCTGAAGTAATTTCTTTACTTCTTGTGTCTTTAATTACATCTAGTAAATTTTCTGCAATTGCTACTTTAATAGGTTCAGGCACATATGGTAAAGTGTCTACTTTTTGGGACTTTTGGTCACTAGTTACGGCAGATGGCAAATTTGCAATTTGTCCATGATTATCATTTTCCCCACTGCATACAAGTTTTTCTTCAGTTGCTGTGTTAGCTGCTTTAGGTAACACATCAGATGATGCAAAATCACCTGGCTCAACTTCTCCTTCTTCACCTTCCAATATCAAGGTAAAGTTGCTTTGAGCCACAAAAAGTTCCCCATCTACTTCAGCAATGTCACATTCAGCAGTGTCTTTGTTATCAGCTAAGTCACAAAACTGTTGGTCAATAGTATCAAAATTGTACTGAAGCTTAAGTGTTCCAGAGGGATATAACTCATTAAATGAAAGATTCCTAGCCTCTTCTCCTGAATCTTGAGCTTCAAGCTTTTCTTGTTCAATCACCTAAATGAATTAAAGATAAGAGACTGGTTAAAGAATTTTAATACATGTTTTAACTTGAAGCACACAGGTTTTTGATGACCCTTGGCTGTGTGCCTTTTAAAACATAAATTATATTTAATATGGCATATACTTATGGGTTTACTTTACAAAATTATCCCTTTAAGCAATCAGACTTTCTCATTCAGTCAAAATAACTACATTTTGAGATTATGACTGAAATTTAACTAGAAATTCTACATTTCCCTAGCTAAAAAGACAGTCAACAAAAGCTTGAAAATTATGATGCTAACAGTTCTGAAAACATTTAAGGACTTATTCTATTCTCACCCAAGAAAAAAAATTAACCGGAAAAAACAGAAACAACCCCCAAACTGTGTTTTAATGGTATTCCCCAAATTACCTAACTATCCACACTTTTCTAAATAGCACGATCCCCGTAAGGTTGAAGAACAATTCACCTACATAAGCTCCCTTGGGCTAGACTCAATCCTCTTCCCTTTGCTGGGGCTGCATAAACCATGAAATTCCTAAGGCTTTCAAGTTCAGTACCTCTCCTGCAAGGGTTTGGTGGAAGAAGGAATGGTCCTTGCAATTACCTTTTGGTAAGGGAAGGGGAGAAAAAGGAGGAGGTAGAAAGTAACAGAGAGATCTCCTGACCAAGAAGGTAGAACATTACCACCCACCTAGACAATGACATTTTCCCACTCCCCAAACATTCAGTGAGATGACAGATTGGAAATAACCTAGAAATTAGGATTCCCACTTACACCATACCCACAACTCTTATTAGCTTCCCAACTAAAAGAACTGGAACTTTACTCATCTATTTGGCAGTGGGAATACTCATTAAGATGAGTATGGATAACGATGACATTTTTATGAGTTAAGAAACTTCCCAAATCCTAAACAAATTTCTATAAATAATTAGAAGAGTTGGTTTTTTATCCAAATTTCTATAAATAATTAGAAGAGTTGGTTTTTTATCTTAAAATTTATTACATAAAAGTTGCCTGCTGGTAATAAAAGATTTGGTATAATAGAATTTTTTTTTTAAAAAAACTAAGTCTTATTAAGTAGCAAAAAGTTATTTTCAGAGTGTACAGATGTTCAACACCAGCCAGTTGACTATCATTCTCCCACAAGGATGCATGGGGCGGGGGTGTCAATCCTGTGTAACTGTATCCATATATTTTCAAATATATGATCTTATGACTAAAAAAACCTTTCATTTGAACCAGATCAGCAAAAATTAACTTGATAAAACTATGGCTTCTTTAACACTTCCTTTTGGCTTTCATGAAAACCAGTTTATTTATTTATTTATTTTTTCCCTGAGACAGGATTTTGTTATGTTGCCCAGGCTGGTCTCAAACTCTTGGGCTCAAGGATCCTCCCTCCTCAAACTCCCAAGTAGCTGGGACTATGGGCACCCGCCACAGCACCCACCTCCAAGGTTGATTTATTAAAGGATGTGTTTTTATATTCCACAAAAGATTTATACACTTATTTTTTGAACCCATATTTTTATAAATAAGTTTTTATATAGCAGTCAAATAAATGAACGTGTTAGATTTGAACTACTGTGTCTTGAAACAACTAAACCAAAACTGAAAGACTGATAAAGAAGTAAAAAATTAATTTTTTTTACATGAATTTCTTGAGTATCAGGAGGGCTGTCAGAAATTGGAAGCTTTTCTTCTGGTAAGTCAACACTTTCTTTTAGTACACCAACTTCTACTTCATGATCTTCTTTTAAGTTCAGCGCTACTTCCTGGTTAAGCCTGCGCTCAGAGACAATAGGACCTTCAGAGATAGTGAGCGAGGAGTTTCCACCATCACCAAGGACATCAGCCATAGCTGAAAGAAAAATGAGTGAATTTTTTACATTTAAACTGAAAAATAAATCCACACACAAGGAAGCAAACAGAAAGGAAAAGGCTACACTGCACTTGAATAGTGTATTAATAAACTATCACAATGCCAGAAAAGTCTGCAACTTCTTAAACAATACACACCTTTCCACAGAGATAAAACAGAAAAAGGTAAATTTCACATTTAAAAATGATAACTGATAAACGGTATCAGGAAACATTAATATGACGACCAACTGCTTCAAGGAAGTTCAGGTGCTTGTTCCTTATTAATCTGAAACTGTATTCACCAGGTGACTACCAGACAACCAGCTATCCTTGTAGAGTAATTACAGAATTACATGAGGAACATGCAATCTGGGCTTTGATACAACTAGGATAAAGAATGAATCTCTTTTGGCAGAAAGCATTCAAATAGGTACAAATGTACTCTACTACTTTAAAATCCTTTAGTGTTTAACAACAACAAAACATCAATAAAAAAGCACAAAAATAAAAGATGAACTAGGAAAAAATATTTCTACACTTTCAATGGAAAATGGGGCTATTATCCCTAACATGTGGATACTAATAAAACAAAATGAAAAATGTTTTCCTGTTTGGCAAAAAGAGGACGACGAAAAACCACTTTACAGGCTTCTCATCAAATACATAAAAGTAGTATACAAACTTTATTGGATACAACAATAAAATATTAAAAATCTGGCTGGGCGCAGTGGCTCACGCCTGTAATCCTAGCACTTTGGGAGGCCAAGGCAGGTGGATCATGAGGTCAGGAGATCGAGACCACCCTGGCTAACACGGTGAAACCCTGTCTCCACTAAAAATACAAAAAATTAGCCAGGCGTGGTGGCGGGCACCTGTAGTCCCAGCTACTCGGGAGACTGAGGCAGGAGAATAGCGTGAGCCTGGGAGGCGGAGCTTGCAGTGAGCCGAGATTGCACCACTGCACTCTAGCCTGGGTGACAGAGCGAGACTCTGTTTCAAAAAAAAAAAAAAAAAAATCTGTACATACTTCTGGACCCAACAAGTCCATGGTTAGGAATCTACCCGAAAGAAATACTGACATAGAATGTAATGTGCACAAGAATATTCACTGCAGAAACAGCAAAACAAACCCCAAAATGGTGATTGGCCCAAATGTTCAGCAATAAGCAATTAGTTAAGCATGTAACATCTACACTACAAAACACTATTAGAGCTGTTAAAAAGAACAGGATTAATCTATATTCCTGACAGAAAAAATGTCTTAAATATATTACATGAGAAAAGAAAGTTGCTTTTTTGATAATGATCATTTCTAACAGCTAACATTTACTAAACTTCAGGTACCAAGCGCTACACAAAACACTTTACATGCAAGGGGCTTAATCCTGACAACTCTAGGAAATGGGTCTTATTAATATTCCCATTTAAAACTATTAATATTTTACCAACAAAAAAAAATAGAGACACAGCCCTTAAGTGCAGAACTGGGAAGTGCAGAACTGGGTTAGGAACCCACACATTCGGGTTCAGCCCCCTGCACTCTTCAGGCACCGTCTTGTCTCCTCTTCCAACATATCGGGAGAAATGGGCACAGAAAACAAAAATTCAGGAAAGACACTTTAAATGGTTAATTATGGACCCCTAAAATGGGTGATCGGCTTTTTACATGTTAGACAATTCTCTCTGGATTACTCCATAATCATGTATTACCTTAATCATGGGACAAAAACTAGTCTGCTGAAGCTTGCCGTATACCCCATTCATAATGTACCAGGAACAAAGGCATAACAGTTGAGAGCATGGGCTCTAGAGTCAGATAACAACTATGTCATAGTATAGTGCTGTGAGGATTAAATGAGTTAATAGACACAAGATGATCAGACCAATTCTGGGCATAGACATTCAAGGTGTCTGCTTCCCCTGAATCCAACTGTAAGCTCCTTAAGAAAATCCTATCTTCCTCATCTCTGTATAGCCAGGGCCTAACTGAGAATAGGCCTTCACAAAAATGCTCATTGGATTAAAAAAAAAATTCCATATATTTGTTAATTTCCCTGGAGAATATTCAGTCATTTGTGATTATTTTCTAATAATGAAAAGTCAACCTTGGCCTTAAGTTATCACAAACAAACACGAAATAACTCTTCTGAGTCCAAGAAGATCAAACGGCAGGGATGCATTTGGCTGTGGACTAGTAATCTAAGACTTTGAATATTAGAGCCACAGAATGCCTTACAAGCAACCCACTGTCTGACAGCTTATATATCTCCTTAGAATACTTCTACACCAGGAAAGCTGACCAGAGAGAGGAATAACTGAGGAGGAAAAATCTGAATAACACAATAGATTATTTTGTTCTAAGAACAGAAAACTCTTCACTCAAAACACAAAAATGGAATAATCCTGAAGTCAAAATTATTATACATACATTTATTGTCATTTGCTCTAATTGCAGGGGTGTAGGTTTCAACAGATGTTAATCCTTCGTCCAACACTGGTACCTTGGACTTCTGGGTGAAGATTTTCCTTTAGAAAAAGAAATACATACCTTAGTGTGTAAGAAGATCCCATCTGCTTTAACCTGCTTTAGTCCTACCACCTAACCTGTCATTTTGGTGATGTAAACTGAGGTTCAGAGAATTCAATACAACTCAAGCTCATTCTGAACAATAATATAAAATTTAAAAGTGAATTCAGAAACAATGCTGTACTTGTTTTACCCATTTTCTAATGTTTTACTCTTTTGGCAACAATGGCATGGCCTTAAAGTAGAAATGAAATGATTTTAAAATGCCTGTCAGTATACATTATATTTAAGCCAATTTTTAATAATCTGTGGCCAGTCTTCAAATAAGTCTGTCAAGTATTCTGGAATATTTTCTATGAACTCAGTAGAGGCAAGGTTCAATATTTTAATGCTACCTAGAAAAAGTATGATAAATGACTCAGAATAAGAGACCAATGAAACCTGTATTAATCCACATGAAAATAAATCCTGGAATATGATGACAGTGTTCCTTTAATATTCTAATCTGACCTTTCTCAAAACCCAATTAAAGCATGCTAATTTTGAAAATTACAACAAATAGTATTTGAAAGTAAATTCAATAAAAAGGTATTTGAAACATTTATAGATTTTACCATAAAAGTAACAGTGATACATCACCACAAAATATCAAATAAGCTTATATTTTAAAAGGAACTAGTTAGCCAAGATAGTGAATATGCACCCAGGTTCTCACTGGTAACTCTCATGTGATTCCTTCTCATGCTGGTAACTCTCATGTGATTCCTTCTCATGCGACTGCTCTTTGCTTTGCAATTATCCATGAAAGCCATTGCAATAAATAACATTAGTTTTCATTAAAATTCAAAAAACATTACAATGAAAAAATAATTTGGATAATCCTTTCATACTGGCTTCTACTTTTTCCATGCAGGCCTGGCAAAAATTCCAGCTAATCTAGATTTCTCAGGCGTAAAGCATGTGATTTAGTTCAAGGTACAAGGGGTGACTATCATGATACTGAATTGTATAGGTGGTCTGGTAAGTCCCTTTCATTATGTATAAAGTAACGAACCATTTATAATGTTGTAAGTTATATTTTGTGTCGGTTAATTTTACTGAATCACCCTTACTACTACTTGATAACTGAAGCTGTCCCTTTTTTGTATCCTCTACAACGGTGTTATTCAAAAGTGCGGACATGCAATCTGTGTCAGTCTCGCAATGAGACAAGGACCTCTTGCCAGAAGGTGAATCAATTGCTTCACTAATCATACTGATTAGTACAGCTGACTTTCCGTAAAGGAGGCAGTGCACTTATCTATATTCCAAGGCAGGCTGTTTATCTTGTTGCAGAACATAAACTGACACTCTCACCAATCTGCTTGACCATACTTTGAATACGTCATCTGGTAAAGTGTCAATGAAAATTATTTGGGAGTATGTTTCAAATGGTCGTTAAAAAACACAAACTTAGAGTCATGTATTGAACAAATGGAAGGAAATAAAACTGTCTGTCATCTCCCCTGTGCTCTACTGTGTCTACCTACAAGAGTCTTGTGCCTGATCATCCTGAAACCACTGGAAAGCAGAGGGCATGGAGGTATGCACAGCTGTGAGCGAAATCTTGGTCTTCAACAAAAACAGAATCACCAGAGTTCTGCCTCAATTTACCGTGTCTCTGTATATTTCCGAAACTTTATAGTAACTACTAAATGACATATAACTGCACAACTAAACTTCTTTTAAAACAGCCAACATTACCAAAATGGAGATGTTAAAGATCTAAGTGAAATCTAACATGCACAGAATATTTTACTTCTGGTTCATAATTTCATTAAACTTCTTTCTAAAAGTATTTGAATTTCTCTCCATTAACTTACCCTTCATAGACTGATGGTGCACAAAGAGAAGCTTCAGTTCCTTGAACCGGGCTTAAGTGATTCAATTCTGAAAATGCCTCTGCTGCAACTAAGAGATCCTTTGTTTCTGCATCTTCTAAATTGCCTATAAGTCATACAAATAAGAATATTATTTATGCTAAATATTTAGTGATTACTGATAGTCTTGCATTATTACTTTTTAAAAAGTTGTTGGGTCTGCTTTTTTGTTCTTTTAGGTTTGCTGCTGTGTTATCAGACTGCTAACACTTTCTTCTTTTTTTTTTTTTGAGATGGAGTCTTGCTGTGTCGCCCAGGCTGGAGTGCAGTGGCGCTATCTTGGCTCACTGCAAGCTCTGCCTCCCAGGTTCACGCCATTCTCCTGCCTCCGCCCCCCGAGTAGCTGGCACTACAGATGCCCGCCACCATGCCCTGCTGATTTTTTGTATTTTTAGTAGAGACGGGGTTTCACTGTTTTAGCCAGGATGGTCTCGATCTCCTGACCTCGTGATCCACCCACCTGGGCCTCCCAAAGTGCTGGGATTACAGGCATGAGCCACTGCACCCGGCCAACACCTTCTTCTTCTAATTCTCTGAACCTAGCTCAAGAGCCCCCCTTAACCTCTCGCTTTTCACTTTTTGCTGAACAGGCACTAATGCAACTGTTTTATATACATTAACTTACTTAATCCTCAACATTCAAAAAAAGTAGATAAGAAAACTGAAGCCTAAGGTTATACTGCGTATCCCAGCTCATGACGCATACTCAGTAAGTAGCTGAGCTAGGATTCAAATCTAGCTTCACTATAGAGTTTGTGTTGTATGAAACCCCACCCACCACAAACACAATAAAGATTTCTGGCCAGGCACGGAGGCTCATACCTGTAATCCCAGCACTCTGGGAGGCTGAGGCAGGCAGATCACGAGGTCAGGAGTTCGAGACCAGCCTGGCCAACATGGTGAAACCCCGCCTCTAATAATACAAAAATTGGCTGGGCATGGTGGCACGTGCCTGTAATCCCAGCTACTCGGGAGGCTGAGGCAGAGGTTGCGGTGAGCCGAGATCACACCACTGCACTCCAGCCTGGGCAACAAGAGCGAAACTCTGTCTCAAAAAAAAAAAAAAATAAATACAAATTTCTATTTGAGACTGCCTAATATTGTAAGAATAATCAGTGAAGATAATGCTATGAACATTCTTTTAACAGCTACCATTTAAACATGTTAGTAGAACAAGGCACATCAAAAGAGCAATGTAGGCCAGGACCGGTGGCGCATGCCTGTAATCCAGCTACTTGGGAGGCTGAGGCAAGAGAAGAGGTTGCAGGAGCTGAAATAGCCCCACTGTACTCCATCCTGGGCGACAGAGCAAGACTCTGTCTCAAATAAGTAAGGCAGTGTAAATTTCTAGACATATGCTATTTATGGGCATGGTCCTAAAGTTCTTAGAGTAATTAATAATGCCCATGCTTACTAAGTAAAGATATCGTAGTCCAAACTTCAGTGGACTCTCATCTTAAACTACTTAAGATGCAGATTTTTATGTAAGTATGTAGTTTTACAGCTTTAGAGTTAGGAGTTACCTTTAAATAACCTTGTTAAAAACGTGTGTAGGGTAAGAAACATACAAATAGGTTCAGTTTTCTGACCCACCAATTCTAGGTGAAGTCTCTCCCATTTACTAGTGTTCCCCTGGCCCTCTTGTTAACCAAACTGGATTCTAAGTGTTTGTCAGTATAGTCCACCATGCTCTGTGTGACATGGGAGCAGGTGCCATTTCTACTTGACTCACTGTTTGATCTTCAACACCTAGAATAAACACAGTAGGAGCTAACAGGAATACATACTTCAGGAACTCAAAACATTTTTTGATCACTAAAATAATATTTTTTTTCTTTTTGAGACAGGGTCTCATTCTCTTGCCTGGGCTGGAGTTCAGTGGCGCAATCACGGCTCACTGCATCCCCAACCTCGACCTCCTGGGTCCAAGCGATCCTCCCCTCTCAGTGTCCTGAGTAGCTAGGAATACAAGTGCATGCTATCGTGCCCAGCTAATTTTTTTATATTTTTTGTAGAGATGGGGTCTCCCTATGTTGTCTAGGCTGGTCTCGAACTCCTGGGCTCCCGAAGTGCTGGTATTACAGGCGTGAGCCACTTTACCCAGCCTGAACATTTATTTTCATTGTCCAGTGATTATTTTGGAGGTGAGGACAGAGAGTAGAATGAAATTCTTAATTTCTGAGAATTATAGAAACTTAAAACTGGTGGATAAGTTAAAAATTGCAATAATTTGGCAGGGCGCGGTGGCTCACGCCTGTAATCCCAGCACTCTGGGAGTCCGAGGCAGGCAGATCACGAGGTCAGGAGTTCGAGACCAGCCTGGCCAATATGGTGAAACCCCGTCTCTACTAAAAATACAAAAATTAGCCAGTCATGGTGGGGGGCGACTATAGTCCCAGCTACTCTGGAGGCTGAGGCAGAAGAACTGCTTGAACCTGGTTGGGGGGGGGGCGGAGGTTGCAGTGAGCCGAGATCACGCCACTGCACTCCAGCCTGGGCAACAGAGTGAGACTCTGTCTCAAAAATTAAATAAATAAAAATTGCAATAATTTGTTCTGTAAAGTTATTTCTCATAGCTACTGGAAGGACTTTCAAGTCAGACTATGGCATCTTACATTTCTTTCCTTAAATGTTACTATTCTTTTCTAAATTTCACGGCCAAATAAAAAATGTAACACATAAGTTCTCCTCTGAAATCTCGTACCTACTCATGAAACAATGTAAGCCACACTTTCTAAGCTGAAGGAGTAAGGTCTGTGCATTATGTCTAGGAACTAGTATACTGTGAGCATATAATATTTA
Organism: Homo sapiens; assembly: GCF_000001405.40. Classification (NCBI taxonomy): domain Eukaryota; kingdom Metazoa; phylum Chordata; class Mammalia; order Primates; family Hominidae; genus Homo; species Homo sapiens. The sequence continues at coordinate 246,860,550 of NC_000001.11, forward strand.
ACTCTCATGCTTTCCTTCTGAGATAGGGTCTTGCTCTGTCACGCAGGCTAAAGTACAGTGGTGCAATCATGACTCACTGAGGTTTCAAACTTCTGAACACTCCCACCATGCCTGGCTAATTTTTAAATTTCTATTTTGTAAAGACAGGGCCTCGCTATGTTGACCAGGCTGGTCTTGAACTCCTGGGCTCAAGCAATCCTCCAGCCTCAGCCTCCCAAAGTGCTGAGATTAACTAGCATGAGCCACAGTACCTGGCTAGGATGCTTTTCTTATGGTGGAAAAAATTCTATTATAAACTTTATTGAGGGACATTAATAACAATTTTGAGTATTCAGAAATGAGTTCTTACCCATTTGTTTCTGTAGGTCTGAAGGAGTTACTTCTGATGCAAATACATCTTTATCTCCATCCTTTTCAGTTTGTTCAGTTACATTAGTAGTTAGTGCAGTGGAAGAGCTTTTGGGCTTAGAGGCCGTGAAAACAGTCTCTTCAAGGTCTTCCGGTGACGGTGCATCCTGATACTCTAAGGTAGTCTCATCGGATGTGATTGAAACACTGCTGTTTCCTTTGCTCACATCCAGTTTCTCTAAACTTTGTGACCCCTCATCCATTTCTTGATGCTCCTTTTCAGGGCTGTTCAGGAAAAAAGATGTGGTCCTATCTTTGCTCTTCAGCCATTCAGTTTCCACTGGAACTGCACATTTTTTAGGTGTAGTAAATACTTCTAATTTGCTATCATCTGCAGCCTGTAAAGTAAGATTTTGAAAAGAAAAAAATTAGTAAATATCACAGTTAAGTCTAGTCCTAAGCTACCCATCCCAATCATACCCATACTTTCTTTGTTGTTTTTACCCAAATTCTCTCCTTAATAAAAATTCATTTATTCTAAATCCATTCTCTTCTAGTACGTAAAAGTTAATGGTGGCTAATGTTTCCCTAATTGGTAATATACCAGTATTTTCAGAAGACTACAACACAGAACAGGCTAGATGACCAATAATCACTGAAAGGTTCCTATTAACCTACAGTGGACCTCAAGACACACCCTCAAAAACATATAACTAGTTAGAAACAACACAATATAAGGTAAAAACAAAGATAAAAGAAGGACTAAAAATTAGGAGGTTTGAATCCTACTCCCAATTCTACCACCATACATCTAGCTGACTACAGCCAACTTACTTGGTGCTTCCGAGTCCTATTTATCTGTAAGATGATGGGTTTGGCTTAGCCAATGGCCCTAGTGTTTCTTTCAGAACTAACCTTTTCTTATTTCATTACTAGCTACAAGATTATATACAAAAATCTATAGTGGTATTTAAAAACTTGATTTATCTAACTTTTTACTTGTCAGAGCTAATACATTCTTATTAAAAAATGTCTTTTCTCCCAATTATTATCAAACTTACCCCAGGAATCCATTTTGGGTGGACATCTTCTTCCACAAATGAAATTCTAGTTTCTTTAAGTCGTTGAGGAGACCTTCCAGGTGATGGAGAGGGAGATGCTAAAGGTGTTGATCGAAGAGTAGACCTCAGGATGGACTGAGGAGTGAACTCAGAAAATCCAGAAGTAGTAACTGACATGGCCAAACTTTTAGCTTTCTATAGTAAAGAGCAAATGGAATTACACCATTAAAAGTGCTTATAGGCCGGGCGCGGTGGCTCACGCCTGTAATCCCTGCACTTTGGGAGGCAGAGGCAGGCGGATCACCAGGTCAGGAGATCGAGACCATCCTGGCTAACACGGTGAAACCCCGTCTCTACTAAAAATACAAAAAATTAGGCAGGCGGGGTGGCGGGCGCCTGTAGTCCCAGCTACTTGGGAGGCTGAGGCAGGAGAATGGCATGAACCCGGGAGGTGGAGCTTGCAGTGAGCCGAGATTGCGCCACTGCACTCCAGCCTGGGCGACAGAGCAAGACTCCGTCTCAAAAAAAAAAAAAAGTGCTTATATAAAAACAGATGGGGTCAACTGAGTCACAATAGTGGTTATATTCTCATCTCATCTCCAATAAACATATCAATAGAAATATTTATTCCAGATTTCTGCAAAGAAAATACAAAATTCTTCCAGAGCTTTTTATACGTAAGTCTACGAAACATAAAACTGCATCCATCTTTCTAAAAGCATTATTTCCAACTTAAATTCAACTAAAAAAGTGCCAATTAGTAAGATAAATTACTTAAATTATAGAATTATACAAATCTAATTACAGAAAACTACAGTAAGACTGACTGTAGTGTTTCAGAAAAAAAATTTCGTCACACGAATCCAATAATAACCAAATTATGTATCAGAATCCTCTGAAGATTTCGTATAATGAATACAAATAATCTGAAATTAGCATGTAAATTTATTTAGTAGAGATAATTCCTTCACTTGGCCTCTAAAGGCCTAGTAAACAAATTACTGAATCCCATTAGATCATAATAAATTCTGTTAGACATGTTACAAGATCATAACAATTCTTTTTTCTAGACTATTCTGGCAGCAGGTATAAAATTCCTCCAATTTCATTTCATTTGAACCTAGCTGTAGAGAATACAAAGTGTGATTTATTTTTGACAAATGAAAAAATACTATACTGAATATTTTAAATTATTGAAACCTAATCTTTTCAACTTATTTTAATAAGTATTTTAGGAAGAGCACTTATTGAGGTATCTTTTATTCAACTTGAAAAATAAGGATTCCCTAGCTTCACTATAAATGCTGGATATCCAAACAGAGAACCCAGGGACAATGGGGAGGGGTGAGGGAGAAATAAAGCTTCTGGGTTTCAATCCAGAACATTAGTCAAGGGGCTAGGGAGATAGTATGTTTAAAAAAAAAAAAACAAAACTTTAAAAATGGAAAGGTTTAAAAAGGCCACCACTAGCAGATATCACAAGTTGAGTGCTGTGATTTCTCAGCTAATAACTTAGGAGATGGGAAAAGGCAGTTTAAAGAGGGATAAACCAAAGTAGCAAGGAGTAACAGTTTTGTCAAAGAATTTAAATAAATACAAATAAACCAAAGAACTAAATAGCATTTGATAGAAGAAATAACAGCATAATGATATCAGAAATGGAGCTTACATAAAAATGAAATAAAAACAAACTCAAGAACCTGAAAGTATTACAAAGGACAAAGGCAAATTCACAACCACACAGAACCCTATATTACCTTTAAGAAAATAATGTTAACTTTAAGCAGGAAGGGATAAATTTAATTAGCTCCGTTTTTAGAAGATGTGAAAACATAAAAGGATGCTTAAAGCATTTCCCAGCACTCCCCAAGCGTATCAGTTATAAATTGCTTATTTTTCTCCTTGCTACTTGAAAAGTAAGAGCCATCTAGTTTGATTGTGAACGCTAGATGCGTAAATACTAACCTTAACTACAAGAGGAGTTTCAAGCAAATGTAATTCTGAAGCCCTGGAGATGGCCTGAGGCGATCCTTTTAATTGCGAACTTGAGGGCAGTGAACGGGATACTAGGTACAAAGGAGATTTCATGGAGCTTTGCTGAATAAACTCCGAACACTGAGAAGGCCGGGGGACAGGCTGAACAACCAAATCTAGCAGTCTGTAATCAGAATGCGCATTTATTGAGTTATACTGAAAAAACAAAAGAATTTAGTATCCCATTTAATCAGACCTCTATATTCACTGGTAACTATGATAGCCACATGCAAATACAGTCAAGTATATTAATGTAATCCAAAGTGCTACCATGCATTCAAAAAGTCAGAAAATTATTCATCGCAAAACAGAATTAAGAACTGCACATAGCAACTGATTTTTAAAAAGAGTTTGCGTCGTCCTCCTTCCCTTTACCTATATTTACTGAGCTCTTACTATGTGCCTGGCATTTATTTTCAAATGAAGATGAACTGCCAATGATTTAAAATACTAAAGAAAACAGGACAAGGCTTCCCTGGCAATCTATTTACTAAAATTCATTAACATGCAAAATATCCATTCACCTACATGTAATATATATAATGAATATTGGTTCATTTTGCCTTTATGGTTCTGATTACAATAAAGACTAGACTGACTTGGGAGGCCGAGGCGGGTGGATCATGAGGTCAGGAGATCGAGACCATCCTGGCTAACAAGGTGAAACCCCGTCTCTACTAAAAATACAAAAAAAAAAATTAGCCGGGCGCGGTGGCGGGCGCCTGTAGTCCCAGCTACTCGGGAGGCTGAGGCAGGAGAATGGCGTGAACCCGGGAAGCGGAGCTTGCAGTGAGCCGAGATTGCGCCACTGCAGTCCGCAGTCCGACCTGGGCGACAGAGCGAGACTCCGTCTCAAAAAAAAAAAAAAAAAAAAAAAAAAAAAAAAAAAAAAAAAAAGACTAGACTGACAACCCACACCCACCACCACAACCAAAAGTTAATTTTTTCAAGTCAATGAGTTTGGTGACAAAGTACAACTTTAAGATTCTACTACAAGGTTTTCCGTAATGTCCTAGTCCCAATGATAAAACTGATCCCACTGATTACTTGTACTGAGCATGTATAATCCAAGTAAGTTTTAAAGCTTAATTTACAGATAAATTTAAACTCAAAAGTCGGGTTTTCAGGTGGTAATTTTTGGTGGACCATTTGCACAGGTCACTCTCTTCTCGATTTCCTAATAAACAGTCTATCTTATGGTTGTATTTCCTAGTGGTAAAAACAATCCCTTTTTATTTCCCCCAAATGCCAAAGTGGCTCACCTGAGAATAACCAGAAAAGGAGAGTATGCTTTGGAGCCCAGAAATAAAAACTTGTAGTTGCAGTACCTTCCTTGTCATTCTATCTATCAAATGAGAGTTTTGCTATTAGGAGCGGTAGACCAACACAGGTGATAATGGGGAAATATTTCAATGTCTTCCCACTTGTTACTCTGTATCAAACACAGCTTTTAGATTTCCACCAAACCAAGAATATCCAATCAGGCTGCTAGACATTTCTTTTCTTCTAGATTCTCTTCTTTCTCTATCTTGTTTGCATTTAAATTCTGTACTTGGATTCGATCCAAACTTGGAAAACAGTTTGCTCACTTTTATACTGAGCTATCCCAAAGGAACACTGTTAAATGTTTTGCATTGTGTTAATATTTATGTTTAAGGCACCTATTTATGAATGAATGCTTCTCAAAAGCAAGGACTGTGCAACAAAAGCTACCTACCAAGTCAAAGCAAAACTTCTGTATCATCAAGACTTAATAGTTTAAAGGTTCTGAGAAATCTTTTTAAGGTATTTTCTAAATGAAATGTTAAATATTGCATTAGGTCTCAGGTCTTCAACCCTGAGACCAAATATTCTTTCAGAACTAACCTTTTCTGATTTCATTACTATCTGCAAGGTTATTTTCAAAAATCTATAGTGGTATTTAAAAAATTGATTTATGTAACTTTTTACTTGTTAGAGCTAATTTTTTTTTACCATAATCCATATAAAGAATGCATCCTATATCACATAAAAATAAAACATCAATTACATAAATTAGCACTTCAGCCTTACTATATGATGTACCCACGGATGTTATCTATTCTGCCTTATTTCATTGCAGGCTATACTGTCTACCCAGTAATGCAAACTCAGCATGAAAAACACAGAAGGTAAATATTCAAAACTCAACTGGCTCTCTTACATCTGAGTTAACACTGGCTTTAAAAAATGCTCATAATACTTCTTTAAGGGCCTCAGGCCATTAATCAAAGGCCTTTCAACTTCTATTATTGCTCCCCGCAACCTCAGAGCCATTAAATTACAAAAAGACCAAGAAAAGGGGACTTGCAGAAAAAAAAATCCGAACTATTGGTAGAAAAAAAGAATGTCGGTAATAACGACTTTCATTTAAAATATCTTCTTTCCATTTAAAATACCATCTTACCAGAGTAAATAAAGGGAAACAACCTAACTAAATTTAGTCCAAAAAAAGAAAAATCCTTTCAAGGTTTAACATATGTCCATTAAACTACACTCTGTACTTCTGGCCTCAGTTGTTTGTATGACCTTATCTCAAGTATCTTTTTCTTAGCATCAAAAATTCAGAGTCTTGTAATGATTATTTATAATCATTATAAATACTTTAAACAATGTAATTTTGTCTTTGATAAAACAATCAAAAATTTCCAAAGATCCTGGGCATATTAAGGACAAAGAATCAATACATGAAGAGACATACTCTGTTCTCTGTGGTACATAATTATGAACACTTTTCAACTAACCAATGCTCGTAAGTAAATACTTGCAATCACAATTTCATCTTGGATACAAAACTTCAACTTAACACCACAGGTAAGATGTAAACGTGCTGCATCTGAAGCAACACAAGACATTTTAGTAGGCACTGTTCAACAGAAGAAAGCTTCAATGAGCTACCCAAGATTAATCTGTAATTAAGTATAAAAACAACCCTCATTTAGAGGTCTACTAACAAGCAGGTAACAAGGAAAGTAAGTTAATAGTTTGCTCATGAGACAAACTTCACTCCTGTCCACTAAGCAGTCTGAAATTATTGAACAAAAATTTTAAGTATACTACTACCTGATGTAAAATTTCCTAAAATTACTGCTGCCCAAAGTATAATAAAAAGCAAACATTAAAATATTCATTTAATAATTTAAAAGTCTATAAAATGTTAAAGATAATTAAAAATTACAATTGTAACTATCATCTAACATTGTGTCTCTAAGAATGATTTAATAAACTCTTACCTAGAAATTTTTTGTGATGCTTTTGAAATTGGTGTTCCAAAAAATGCCTCAGGCAGCTCTGGAGCTGGGAGCGAATACACTATAGGAGATGGTTCTTCTATTTTAGAACTATGAAAATAAAAATTTAACTTCTGATGTATCACAAGGAGCACTGATAACAAGTGGATGAGATGGGAGAACAGAGGGTTTTCATTCGTTTTACTTTGTACAGTTCTGCATTGCTTACAAATAATAATGAACATTTCACTTTTAAAGGTTTTTAAAAATTCTTCTCAGAAACATAGCCAACATAAAGAGTTTTTCTTTTTTACATACACTAATAAACTTAGGCAAAGAGAGTGGATTGTTGATGAACGCTGTTGATGTCCAGTAAAGATTAACAAGCAGCATGACTATGAAACGTGTAAGAAAACATACCTATTGAAAGGTGTGGTGCTATTTATAGGTTCTTTGCTTGCCCAAACTTCTCCAATTTTAGATAACACATTGTTGATGAAAACAGATCTTGTCAACACAGTTCCTGTTACAACTTGCTTTGGAACTGCTGATAATGGTTTGGGTCTAGAAACTGTAAAATGAAGAACGCTGGAATTAAGTGCATCTCTAACAAACGGGAATTTAATAAAAGCATATGAAAGAATGATTACACCCCCCCCCCCACACACACACACACACACATTACGTGGTAATACTAGCTAAAAATTTTAATTATATATATATAATTAATTTTTTTTCTTTTAGACCAGTCTTGCTGTGTCACTCAAGCTGGAGGGCAGTGGCATGATCTCGGCTCACTGCACCCTCTGCCTCCTGGGTTCAAGCGATTCTCCTGCCTCAGCCTCCCAAGTAGATGGGATTACAGGCATGGCCACCAAGCCCGGCTAATTTTTTTTTTTTTTTTTTGAGACGGAGTCTTGCTCTGTAGCCCAGGCTGGAGTGCAGTGGCACAATCTTGGCTCACTGCAACCTCTGCCTGCCAGACTCAAGTGATTTTCCTGCCTTAGCCTCCCGAGTAGCTGGGACTACAGGAATGTGCCACCACGCTAATTTTTGTATTCTAAAGTAAAGGGTTTCACCATGTTGGCCAGGCTGGTCTTGAACTCCTGACCTCATGTGATCCACCCGCCTTGGCCTCCCAAAGTGCTGGGATTACAGGCGTGAGCCACTGCGCCTGGCAATTTTTGTATTTTTAGTAGAGACAGGGTTTCACCATGTTGGCCAGACTGGTCTCAAACTCCGGGCCTCAAGTGATCCTCCCTCCTCGGCCTCTCAAAGTGCTGGGATAGAGGTGTGAGCCACCGGCCTGGCCTACATTTTGTTTCATTATAGCTATGCTGGATTTAGGAAGTTGGGCTTTTGGTAAGTGGTAAAAAAAAAAAAAAAAAAAGTTATTCTTTGTGTTTTCTAGAAGTTGGACATGTGCCTTCAACTGAAATAGGAGTTCTTTCATTATGCATACACTAGTAAATAAACAGTCAAATCTTCTAAGAAAGGCTTACATTTCTTGGGTTACAGAGCAGCCAATAAAAAAGTACCACGTGATGAATGAGTACAGGTCTACCTCATTTTATTGTGCTTTGCTTCATTGTGTGTGTGTTTTTTGTTTTTTTTTTTTTTTTGAGATGGAGTCTCGCTCTGTCACCCAGGTTGGAGTGCAGTGGTGTGATCTCGGCTCACTGCAAGTTCTGCCTCCCGGGTTCACGCCATTCTCCTGCCTCAGCCTGCTGAGTAGCTGGGACTACAGGCGCCCGCCACCATGCCTGGCTAACTTTTTCTATTTTTAGTAGAGACGGGGTTTCACCATGTTGGCCAGGATGGTCTCGATCTCCTGACCTCGTGATCCGCCCGCCTTGGCCTCCCAAAGTGCTGGATTACAGGCGTGAGCCACCACGCCCGGCCGTGTGTTTTGTTTTTTTAAACAAATTGAAGGTCTGTGGCAACCCTGTGTCCAGCAAGTCTACTGGCACCATTTTTCCAACAGCGTGTACTTACTCCACTGACTAACTGTTCCCCCGCGTCTCTCCCTTTCCCCGAGGACCTCCCTTATTCCTTGAGACTGACAATATCCAAAGCCAACTAATAACCCTACAAAGACCTCAAGTGTTCATGTGAAAGGAGGAGTCACATGTCTAGGACTTTAAATCAAAAGCTAGACCTCTTATGCCAGTTAGCCAAGTTGTAAATGCAAAAAAGAACCTGAAGGAAATTAAAAGTGCTACGTCAGTGAACACATGAATGGAGAAGTCAATGCCTGGCTTCAAAGGACAGGGTGACTCTGCTGTTAGTGGTTAATGTAGCTGATGACTTTAAATTAAAGGCAATCACCATTCCAAAATTCCTAAGGCCCTTAAAAATGATGGGAAATCTACTATGCCTGTCTTCTATCAATGGAAAAAGCCTAGATGAAAACACATCTGTTGACAGCATGGTTTACCGAATATTTTAAGCCTACTGTTGAGAACTGTTCAGAAAAAAAAAAAAGTCTTTTCAAATATTACTGCTCACTGATAATGCCCCTGGTCACCCAGGAGCCCTGATGATGTACAGGGAGACGAATGCTGTTAGCAGGCATGAAAACACAACATCCATTCTGTAACCCTGGATCACAGTAATCGCAATTTTCAAGATATAATTTAGAAATACATTTCATAAAGCTATAGCTGTCACAGATAGTGATTCCTCTGAGAGATCCGAACAAAGTCCTTTGAAAACCTTCTGGAAAGGATTCACCATTCTAGATGCCATTCAGCACATTCATAATTCCTGGGAGGAGTCAAACTATGCACATTAAAAGGAGTTTGTAAGAAGGTGATTCCATCTTTCATGAATAACTTTTGAGGGCTTCAAGACTTCAGTGGAGAAAACAACTGCAGATATGGGGGAAAGAGCAAGAGAACTAGAATGAGAAGCAGAGCCTAGGCCAGGCATGATGGCTCATGCCTGTAATCCCAGTACTTTTGGAGGCCAAGGTGGGAGGATCACTTGAGGCCATGAGTTTGAGAATAGCCTGGGCGACATAGTGAGGCCCTCTCTACAAAAAATACCCAGGCACGGTTGCAGTCTCAGCCACTCGGAAAGCTGAGGCAGGAGGATCACTTGAGCTCAGAAGGTCAAGGCTACAATGAGCTATGATTATACCACTGTACTAGAGCATCTGTGACAGACAAAGACCTTGTCTCTTAAAAAAACAAAAACAGACTAAAGATGTGATGAATTGCTGTAATCTCATGATAAAACATGAATAAATGAGGAATTGCTTCTTACAGATAGGCAAACAAGTGGTTTCTTGAGACAGAATCTACAGTGTTGAAATGATAAAGTGTAAACAGATAGAGGGTCTCCAGGGATTATAGGAATTTTACATTTAAAAGAGAAAAGTATAATATGTAAGCAATATTTTAATTACTAGCTCCTCTAAAGAGGAATCTAGTATAAATACTGTACCCTAAACTTTCTAGCTAAAAGAGGGTATAAAACCTCAAAAAAAAAAAAAAAAAGCCCTAGGCTATTTAATTTCTCAGGGACAGGGGTGTCCTTCCCAGGACAGGAAAATGGCTGTGTATCAAATACCTCCTCCTCAGAACCAAAAATTCTTGAAAATGGCCGGATTCTGTCACATATAAATTCCCAATTCGGGTATTTTAACAAAGCCTTTTTATAAAAAGCTACAAGAGCTGGAGTCAGACCCTTTTAAAGAAGACAAACAATACAACTGAGCCTTCGAAAAACTAAAAACAACCAAGCAAACAAAAAGTGACTGCGCTCCCACTGTAGCCTTGCTTAAGTTGCCAAACCTTTTGACTTATCTGTCTCATAAAAGGCAGGGAACAGCTAGCCAGGGGAGCACTTACCCAAATGCTAGGACCACTAAAAAAGGTGGTGGCTCATTTTTTTCTAACCAACTTGACATGGTGGCCACCAAAAGGCCCCCATGTCTTAGGACAGTGGTTACTACTTGCCTATTAGTGAGAAAAGCTTAAAAACAAACCATGACTCAGACATTAATGGTCTAGGTCCTCAGTTATCCAGAGTGCTAAAAACAGAGACACCACTCGCTTACTGATGGGAGGATGTTACAATAAAAAGTTAAATTAAGAGGCAGCCACATCAAGGTGTGCCAGATCCTTACTTAACCCTGCCATGTTTCTTTCCACCTCCCAGGAACTGCTCCCACACAAATACTCAACCACTACTGATAAAATGTATTCTAGTCAAAAGGACCTAAAAAACAAACCCTTTCAGAACTCTCAAGTTAACAAAGCCTTTCTTCGTAAATCAGAGTAACATCACAGAAAGGGGCCCAGAAAAACAAGGTATACAGTGCTGTCCTCACTTGGAGTTAAAGAGGCTAACAGCCTACCTCTGTGAACCCTGACTAGATGAGCCTCATCTTCAGGACAGGCTAAGGCCATCATGTCTCCACAGACTCTAAGTATGCTTTCTCTGTAATCCATGCCTACAGTGCATTTTTTTTTGAGGCCTCCTGACTGCAGACTATAAGGAGGTTAATAATATTAAAAACATTACAGCTATTAGAGGCAGCAGTATAGCTACCTAAAAGGGTAGCAGTGGCCTACTGCCAGGGTCACAAAAAAATAAAAAATAAAAATTTGAGGTTATTAAAAAATAATAACAACCTAAAGACACAGCTACTAAAAAGACAACACAAACATGTGAACTTTACAAATGACCCTGATCCCAGACATCCTACTCCACAAGTCCCAGCCTCAGTGTTCACCTCAGGAGTTAAAGCCAAACGCAAAGGGTATTTTCCACACTTAGATTCAGAAAGATGAACTATTAATGACAAAAAAAAAAAAAAAAAAAGAACCTAGATTCCCAAAAACCTAGGGTGGTCTCTAACTAAATATGGTCATAGATCATCACATTATGGTAAATAACAAAACAAAACAAACCTTACGCAATTAGTTACTAAAGATACCTGATCTAAAAGATAAAACAGATCAAGGATCTAACAGGTGTCTCCAATTTGTACAAAATAATACTCAGATCGGGCTCCCTTGTGACTCCACTAACCCAAGCTGTCCAGCTGGGGTGGCACGCCAGGAAAAGACTGACAAGAAGACTTTACAGTGATGCCCCAGGACCCAAAAACTTCAGGTACCTACTAGTGTAGACACCTTTACTGGCTAAATAAAAGGGATACACCCTTGTCACACACAAAAAGACAAATGAGGTGGTCAGAGCTTTACTCAAAGACATCATCTTGAGGTTCTGGCTTACTCCAACCAATCCAGAGTGACAACAGAACTGCCTTCATTTACAAAGTTACTTAGGGGGTGTCCTCTGCCTTGGAAATTAAATAGAGGAGGTTACACATAACTTAAGAAACCTCATTCATCTAAAAAGGTCAAGCATAGTAATAAAACATAAGGATCACGCTAGCCAAACTATGCCAGGAAACTCAAAAACTGACTAAAGCTCCTTCCCATCGCACTATCATGGGTGCTGAAAGGGAATGGGACTTGGCCCTTTCCAATCACTATATAGAAGAGCTTGCTTGGCATGATTGAACCTTCGAAGTGTGCTGCTGTCGAGACCAAGAGGGCAGTAAAACATGCTGTAGATTTTTAAAAATACAAACTCTTAAAACATGTGAAACCACAAACTTCTAGTTCCCACTGAGGTTAAGCTTCACCCATATTAACCTAGAGACCGGGTTCACCTTAAGACTCAAAAATCCAAATCGCCTCCAGACCAACTAAACTGTTTGGACCATGTATTATTAAGCACTCACTCTTCTCCTAAGTTTCAGGGGCTCAGACCCTAAAAGCCATCATTCCTGAGTGAATCCTGCACCAGAGCCCTCAGATCAGGCGCTACTAGGTTCGACTTATTCCTATAAGCCAGTCTCTGATCTCAAGCTTCTCTTCTGGGGAAGGGATATTACATGTTAAGTAAATGTGCCCTTGCCATACTCTTGATATATTCAAACTTTCTCCCTTATAGAACTCTCTATACTCATTACTCTTCTGTAAAAGAAAAAAATCTTAACCGGTGATAAATCACCATATAAAAAAATAGACTCTTTCTCCCTGTGCTGTTTAGTCCCTTTTATTACTGTGGCTGATGGTCTCTGGAAAGACAATTCACTAGTCAATTTCTCCTGCATCACAGCAAAGGGAAAGAATCCGTCCCAATACTAAATATACTAGAGACAATACACTAGTCAATTTCTCCTGCATCATAGCGAAGGGAAAGAATCCGTCCCAATACTAAATGTACTAGAGACAATACACTAGTCAATTTCTCCTGCATCACAGTGAAGGGAAAGAATCCGTCCCAATAATAAATATACTAGAGACAATACACTAGTCAATTTCTCCTGCATCATAGCAAAGGGAAAGAATCTGTCCCAATACTAAATATACTAGAGACAATACACTAAGTCGATTTCTCTTGCATCACAGCAAAGGGAAAGAATCTGTCCTATACTGAATATACTAGAGACACCCACAAGCCTAGCCTGTCCAAGCCATGCAATTTGTGGTGACCCCAAACTTCACTTTCACCCCACAAAACTGGAGCAAGCTCCCCTTTCCTGCAGTTATCCCCTCCACAAAAACGTTCCCTGTGTCACCTTGACTAACACATGTATAGTAAATACTACTTACTGTATAAGTCCTACTAAACTATTCAACGATAGGTGAAACATACATACAGGCACTAGGATATTCGTCCAACACAGACTTACTACGCTGACATAAGATCTGACCCAACAGGGAGGTACCCGCTTGCTGCTTCTGACACTGCCACCTGCCACCTCAATACAACTCACTCCTGTCCTGACACAATCACCATTAATATTTTATTATTAAAAATATTTAGTATTTTATAATCTTTTTTAATATTAGAGACAACCCACTAAATAAAACTCATGACAAAGGGTGCCAAACTCCAGTTTCTAGTATATACAAGTAGACATGCCAACAAATTACGATAAAATTTCAGCTGACTAAAGAGACTGAGACCATCTTTGAGGTGGGCCTCTGTCTCCCTTGCATAAAGATGACACCTAAAGCCAAATAACATTAACTATTAAATGTCTCTATCTTCAGACAAATACGTGTCCCTCTGAGGCATGTATTCCTCTACATGCCAAGCAAACAAAAAGTGACTGCTGCTCCCACTGTAGCCTTGCTTAACTTGCTAAACCTTTTGACTTATCTGTCCCATAAAAGGAAGGGAACAGCTAGCTGGGGGAGCACTTACCCAAATGCTAGGACCACTAAAAAGGGTGGTGGCTCATTTTTCTAACCAACTTGACATGGTGGTCATGAAACGGCCACCCAAAAAAATATAAAACCCACTGCCAGGCTGCCTTGGATTCCTTCCCTTCACCCTGTTTAACATTAACTTATCCCTACGTCTTGAACCTCTCAATAAAACTTGTATCTTCCAAATTAAAAAAAATTCAACTACAGCTGGTCTTACTACAATACCAGCCATTACAACCTATCCTGAGAGATCCTGAAATATATTTAAATTTAGCATCTAAAAATTTTCACTCCTTTAACATCTCCAGACACATATCCCTGAACAACATTAAAAAGTTACAAAAAAACCTGACCTCCGGCTCTCAGCCCTCAAGAATGAGGAGTGACATACTTCTAGGGGGAAAATTTGTAAACAGACAGAGTCTCCCAGGATTATAGAAATTTAATCAACAATCAGCCTGTTTTACAGCCTCCTGCTATTTAGCCAGTTTCTTCCTAAACCCCATGTAAAATATTAGTCACCTACTTTGTTAAAACCATCTCCTGACAGGCCAACAACTTATATTATAGATAAACCAGAATGAACTTTCTTTACCACCATACTGAAGTCTCCACCCCAGGAGGTGCTACGACTTCCTTACCATGACATGCGACCTATATACTGACATAGTAACTAAGTCTACACAACTGGGACCACTCCCTTACATACAATGACACAACCTCTCCCCTCTCCATAAAACCCTCCTGTCACCTTCCCTCAGCTGGACACTCCCTTACATACAATGACACAACCTCTCCCCTCTCCATAAAACCCTCCTGTCACCTTCCCTCAGCTGGACACTGCTTTGGAGAATCCTCCCCGGTGTTGTCCTCCTTACTTAGAAGCCAAATAATAAAAAGTCCGATTGACCAAAACCTGCCTTCTTGTAGAGTAGTTTGTTACTCACTAGGCATTTAGAAAATTACATAAACTTAAGATGACAGGGCAGAGGCAGGGTTTGAGAGGAGTGACTCATTTTGAAAGAAGTTCTATGGCTAAAATGCTATCAAATGGTATCACATGCTACAGAGAAACTCTAGTGGAAGGAAGAGTAAATTGACATGGCCAACTTCACTGTGTCATCGTAAGAAACTGTCACAGCCACCTCAACCTTCAGTAGTCACCATGCTGATCAGTCAGCAGCCATCAACATTGAGACAAGATCCTTTATTAGCAAAAGGATTACGACTCACAGAAGGCTCAGATGATCCTTAGCATTTTTTAGCAATATTGCATTTCAAAATTAAGGTATGTACACTGGTTTTAAGAATAATGCTACTGCACACTTAGAAGTATAGTGTAAACATTATGCAATGGGAAACCAAAACTTCAGAGGACTAGCTTTCTCGTGATAGTCACTTCATTGCAGTGATCTGGAACCAAACCAGCAATATCTCCAAGGCATGCCTGTATGTGTTAGCGAAAGTAGCTAAATTTAAGGTGGTTTCAGAAAAGTAATCATTCAGTATCTTTTTTGATCCAATAGATTATGATATTCTTCAATGAAATTCTTACCTAATCGAAAAACTGATGATGTTGACAGATGATAAGGCTTAGCTCGTTCAATGGCTAATTTTCGATGGACTCTAGGAAGGATTTTTCCATACTGGTCTAATATAGAATTTCGAGCCAGTGATCTCTCCCGCAAACGAGGATCACGATCATTCTATTAAACATCAAAATTGGTAAAAAATTTAACCTTCAAAATGTTAGGTGCTGTAATTCTATATTTACCATTTAAAATAAAACTATGAATATCCAAAAAATCTTCCCCCTACCTACATATCCATTTTTCCAAACCAAGAACTTCATCCACATATCTAATTTTTTTATCAATCCTTACCCATCAATAAATTCCAAATCTCGCTACCAAGCCTTGATTCTTCACAATTAATAAAAACAATGGTTATTAAGCATCCATGTGTCAGGCAACATTCTACTTCACACACATCTCTGTGCATCCTCAAAACAACCTCACAAGGAGATTTTATCATTTTACAGTTGATAAAAGCAAGACTCAGAGTGTGTCCCAAGCACACAGAGTAAATGAAGAATTAGTCTGACCCTTGAAGTCCAATGATCTTTGTACTATATAACCCTTACTGCTGGCCTCTACGTCTTCCTCTACCACACAATGATCTTTGTACTATGTAACTCCTACTGCTGGCCTCTACATCTTCCTCTTGTTTTCCCTGAGTGAAATGGCAATATTGTAGGCAGACATCAGAACATAAATGGCATACGTAAAAGAATTACGTGGTAATACCCTGTTCCCAATTCTGTTACAGAGATGAACTGAGGATTCTCCAAGTTCAAGGTAATGCTAGGCACAGTGGTTACCAAACTGTAAGCTCTTATATAACAACCAAAAAAGCCTCCAGTTTTCCTTATTCTCTTATCCCCCATAATAAGACAACTTTAATCGTACCATAACATTAATCTTCAGAGTTTGGTTCAGCTTCAAGGCAGGCACATAATTGGCACGCTGCAAATGGTGCACTAAAAGGAATTCATGATTCTGAACGCTGGCACTGGACTGCAAAAATTTCACTAAACATTCCTAAAAAGAACAAAATAGATTGTAAACTACCAATTTATCTTGAATTTCTGACAAGTTTACATCGGTAAGTAATTACCTGCTCAGTGTCTGTAAATGGTAACTTCAGTAAATCTTCCATCAAGCCCATTTCCTGACAGACTTCATACATGTGCTTCAGTAACTCCTCTATATTCAACCTATTGCAATGTTGCCGCAAAAAATTCCAGGCTTCAACCATACACCTGAAAGCAGTATTTATCAAAGTTTAGTTTTAGAAAAAGCTATTTAAATGTACAAAACAAGAAATCTACATGTAGAATTTCAAAGATACTTTGTAAAGTATCTTTATAAATAATTGAAAAGTACTTTAAAAATTTGTTGAATACTAAGTACTGCATAATAATCTTGCTAAGAATGTCAGTAAAATGACACGTTTAAAGAATTTTATGCTGCTTTTTAGATATAAAATAATAAAAAAGCAAAGTAGACAAAAATTCAAAGAAGACAAAAAACTAATGTGGCCTGGATAGAGCTGAATGGTTGGTGTGGTGTGACAGAGGAACATCAGGTTTTTAAGAAGTGACACTCAGTGGGAAGCGTGCGAAAGACTGAGATCTATAGATGGAAACAAGCACGCTGTGTCCATGAGGAAGGGAAGAGTAGAGCTTGGTAGTAGATGTTTTTTGGTTGATTTGCAGCAAGATCAGATTGGAGAACCTGAGTTAAATTTGGCAGTCTCAGACACCATGCAGAGGTGCTAAGATGTCCTTTGTGGGCCATAAGATCATTTAAATGAAGGAGTGTTTCTTACACAGAAGTCTTCCAGAATCAGGTAGGAGAATTTTTTTACTGTTATTTATTTATTTTTATTTTTTTTAATGCCAGTGTTCAACTCATACCCCACCGACAGGATTATCTTGAAGGTTCACTTGAGCATATCTATAAAAATTATAATTAAATATAGGTCTTGACCCAATGATCCCAATGCAAAGAATACAGTCTACAGAAACACCAGCAAAAATTGCAAAAGATTAAGTATAAGAATATACAGTAAGAGCCAGGCATAATGGCTCATGCCTGTAATCCCAACACTTTGGGAGGCCAGGGTGGGCAGATCACTTGAGCCTAGGAGTTCAAGACCAACCTGGGCAACGTGGTGAGACCCTAACTACAAAAAAATACAAAAATTAGCTGGGCATGGTGGTGTGTGCCTGTAGTCCCAGCTATTCAGTAGGCTAAGGTGGGAGGATTGCTTGATCCTAGGAGGTCAAGGCTGCAGTGAGCTATGATCATGCTACTGCACTCCAGCCTGGCAGACAGAGCAAGATTCTGTCTCAAAAAAAAAAAAAAAAAAAAAAAAAAAAATACAGTGAAACAATGAATTACGATGTAGCCCTATATAAGGAAAATATGTATTAACTTGGAAAATCATTAGTTTTTTAAAAAGCAAGTTAAAAACAGTATGAAAATGACAAAACATTAACCAATAAAACTTGTTTATATATTTATTTAAGTAGAAAAGAAAAAGTTCTGAAGATATACACTAAGAATGGTAATGATCAATCTGGCAGTTAAAATTTTTGGAGGCTGACAACTTCCAAGGCAGAATAAAAAATGGCAAGATTGCACTGCCCTATACGTTCTGTGAATACAAAGTTACTTGGGGAAGCAAATGGTACCCACTGTTGGCAGATCAGGGCCATCTGTTACTTTTGTTGTTCTGGAACTAGAGTATTTCCACATGCTCCACAGGGCTTATACAGGCCAACAACTCAAGAAGTACAATGTGTAGAGGTATTCCCTAAAAATTTACATCTGAAATTGCCTCGTGCTTCTCTTACTAGACGGTGGAATCATTGTAACTTGGGTGTAGAAGAGTGTTCATCTGCGTGTGTTCATGTGCACAGAAATATAGTCATTTTTCCCTAAACCAAAATCTAGAAACGTTAAAAGCAGAACATTTTTGTATAAAGAAAAATAGAGGATAAGATGAACATTTCATTATTAAATCTCACAACAAGGTTGATTTCCCTAATGCATACAAAGCGGCTATAAATCAGTAAGAAAAATCCCAACAACACAGGAAAAAAAGCCAAAGATTTTAATAGGCAGGTCACAAAAGAAATAGCTCTTTAAAAAAAGATACATTCCATTATTATAGTGAGACCAAACATATTAAAACTACCATTTTTACCCATGAGATGAAGAGACAAAAAATATCTGGTACACTGTGTTGATAAAAGACATAGCATACGGTAATTGAGAGGAGGATTAAGTTGTCATAACCTTGATGGAGGGTAATTTGCCCTACTTGTCAAAATTAAACTACCAAAATTACGAGGGCAAACATCCTTTCACCCTAGGATTTTATTCTATAAATTGGCACATGTGCATTACGTGGTTACTCATCATAGCATTGTTTAAAATGGCTAAAGGTTGAAACAACCTAAATGTTCATTACAGAGAACTATTAATAATTAGGGCAAGGTGTGGCAGCTCAAGCCTGTAATCCCAGCACTTTGGGAGACCGAGACAGGTGGATCAATCATCTGAGGTCAGGAGTTTGAGACCAGCCTGGCCAACATGGCAAAACCCTGTTGCTACTAAGAATACAAAAATTAGCAAGGCGTGGTGGTGCATGCCTGTAATCCCAGCTACTTGCGAGACTGAGGCAGGAAAATCGGCTTGAACCCAGGAGGCAGAGGTTGCAGTGAGCCAAAACCGCTCCACTAACTCCAGCCTGGGTGACAAAGTGAGACTCTGTTCCCCCAACCCCGCCAAAAAAAAAGGGAGAACTAATTTAAAATAAAATGGTACAGCCATCCAAATAATGAACTACTATGCAATAGTTAAAAAGCAAATCCTTTATGTAATTATAAAATTAGCACCAAACTAAAGTGAAAAAAGTATACTGCAGAAGGGTGTACAGTTAGAAGGGTATACGGTATGCTGTTTTTATTTGTTAAAAGGGTTTAGTGGGAGAGGACATATAGGCATTTGTTGACATTTGTTTAGAAGATCTTAGGAAGAATACACTAGAAGTTATTCACACTACTGGGTACTAAGAGGAAACAGGCAGTTGGGAATTCACTGTGTCATCATTCTTAGCTCTTAAACACTGAAGCATGTAAATAGCTTATTATCAAAAACAATATGTTATTTGTTATATATATATATAAAATATATAATAGGCATTATATATTTTTAAAGTTTTCCACTTTAGGCAGGGTGTGGTGGCTCACGCCTGTAATCCCAGCACTTTGGGAGCCCGAGGCGGGCAGATCACGAGGTCAGGAATTCGAGGCCAGCCTGACCAACATGGTAAAAACCCCGTCTCTACTAAAATTACAAAAATTAGCTGGTCATGGTGGCACGTGCCTATAATCCCAGCTATTCAGGAGCCTGAGGCAGGAGAATCACTTGAACCCGGGAGGTGGAGGTTACAGTGAGCCGAGATCGCGCCACTGCACTCCATCCAGCCTGGCAGACAGAGTGAGACTCCAGCTCAAAAAAAAAAAAAAAAAAAATTCCACTTTAAACTGATACCTACACCCAGTTGATCAGACAAACTAGCAGGAGTAAGATAAACTTAATTTATGATTTACCAAGTATTAATTTGATAATAATATAGACAGTATTTTTAACAACAAATGACAGATGATAATGTTCTTTCCCAGTTTCCCCCATAGCAGGAAAATACTTTCAACTTCAAGAAATCCATTGCCAACATTTAACAAATGTTTTAAAACAAAGTCTCCAAATTCTCACTATTCTCTTGCTTCCTACAGAAGACAATAATGATGCTAGGAAGAACAATAAGAAAATTAATTTATGAAAGGCTAGGCTAGCATGTTGGCAGTAAAAGACATAGAAGTCATTTTAATAAGGAATGCATGGGGGTTCTTGGCAATACAGCAAAGACAGACTGAAAACCCATCCTGTGGCAAACTCTCTAAACATGCTAGACCAAATATAAATATGCATTATGAAATGCACGGTGGAGACCACAATACAAAAAGACATTCAAGAGAGGTAAACAACCAACCACTGATTTCTAGTGACTGGAGTAAAGTAAAAAGACTGGGGAAATATACATACAGAATATAAATAAAAAAGGTTATTTGTGTGCCTACATTAACAAGTATTCATAATAAAGAAGGTTACCATATAATAATTTTAAAAGTCATTTTAAAAAAGAACAAATTAAAACTCTTATGTACCTAATATTCAAAATACAAAAAGCTGGCAATATTGTGAGGAACTGAGACATCCACCATTAGCGTCAGCAACTCTGCATACTTAGTAACTTACAAAACAGACTAGGAAAAAAAATTATTCAGGACACAGAAAGATTAAAACCATGCAACGAACAAACTTGATCATGGGGACAAATATATTTGACATTTCACCTATTAAATGGAGAATACATTGAGTACTTATCAGTGGGTAAATCAAGTCTTACCAAAAAAATTTTTTTTAAATAGAAGCAGGGTCAGCTGGGCAAGGAGGTTCATACCTGTAATCCCAGCACTTTGGGAGGCCGAGGCGGGCGGATCACCTGAGGTCAGGAGTTCAAGACCAGCCTGACCAACATGGGTGAAACCCTGTCTCTACTAAAAATACAAAAATTAGGTGGGCATGATGGCGGGCACCTGTAATCCCAGCTACTCAGGAGGCTGAGGCAGGAGAATCGCTTGAACCTGGGAGGCAGAGGTTGCAGTGAGCCAAGATCGCACCACTGCACCCCAGCCTGGGTAACAGAGCAAGGCTCCGTCTCAAAAAAAAAAACCAAAAAAAAAAACAAAAAAAAAAGAAGAAGGGTCTCCTACGTTGCCCGGCCTGATCCTGGGCTCAAGTAATCCTCCTACCTTGGCCTCCCAAAGTGCTGGGATTACAGGCATGAGCCACCGTGCCTGGCCTTTATTATTATTACTTTTTTTTTTGTTTTTTTTTTTGAGATGGAGTCTTGCTCTGTCGCCCAGGCTGGAGTGCAATGGCACCATCTCTGCTCACTGCAAGCTCCGCCTCCTGGGTTCACGCCATTCTCCTGCCTCAGCCTCCTGAGTAGCTGGGACTACAGGCGTGCACCACCTCGCCCAGCTAATTTTTTGTATTTTTAGTAGAGATGGGGTTTCACCGTGTTAGCCAGGATGGTCTCGATCTCCTGACCTCGTGATCCACCCGCCTCAGCCTCCCAAAGTGCTGGGATTACAGGCATGAGCCACCGCACCTGGCCTATTATTACTTTTAAACAGAGCAAGTCTTAGCAAATTTTAAAGGTCAGGTACCACATGGATCACATTATGTGATTACAAAACAATTTAGAAACCAACAACACAATTTTTAAAACCCATTATTTGTAAATTAAAACTTCTAAATCATAGATAGGGAAAATAAACAACCGTAATGAAAATTTAAAGATACTTAGAACAGAATCATAATGAAACTGTGGGATGCCGCTAAGGTGCTATGTGGGACATTCGATATATACTTTTGTATTACAAAGAAAAAAGGCTGAAAATGAAATCATTATCCAACCTGAGTTAAAAGGACAGCAAAATAAACCCACCTAACAAAGAGGAAAAATTATGCCTATACAAAAGGATTTTTTGGCTTTCTTGTACATTTATGATCCTAAGACTGAATAATCAATGTTAGTAGCTGAATTATCTAAAGCCTTTATTTGTAAGTCTGTTGCTGTACGGTGCATCATGGTTAATTTGCACGTAAAACAGCCACGCCACAGTTGTGATGGTATGTCCATATATATAGCTCATAAAATTGAGAAGCTACCAGCATGAAGTTTTAGAGAAATGCAAAGATGCTCTTAATGAGGAAACTCAGGCTCAGAGAGGATAACTGAACTGCCTTTGATCCTATTTCACAAAGTGGCATCGTTTAGATTTAAATCCAAATCTATTTGAGTCCAAAGATTTTGCTCTTAACATCTTTGCTACAATAAGTGCTGTTTCAATAACATTATTTGTAAGGGTGCAAATTAATAAACAATATCACTAACATAAATTAATAGTTCAAAACAGGGCAAAACCTCCTGAGGTCAGGAGTGAGGCTGTACAGCCAGAAGGGTGAGTCCGGGGAGAGTGTTAGTGTTTGATGGTTTAAATATTAAAACTTTTTCAGCCATTTCAACTATCTTTATGTAATCAAATCATTTGGGTGTTGGACTATTATGCAGCTTAACTTCTCGGACTTTTAGTTCAAATTTCCCAAATGTAACCTCTATCCATGGTTCAAGGATATACTGATTAAACACTGCTGGACTAGAGATGTAGGTATTTGAACAAATTAGGTGATTATGTATGACCGCAGGAGATACTCAGAAACTTTGTTTTCTTGAATAAGTCCCTGTAAATCAGCTTGTTTTCTTGTTATTTGCTTCCTTCTGATAAAAATGAAGTGTAAAGTATGCTGTTACATAATCTCCTGGGCAATAAACATGGCTGCCTTTTGCAAAATTATCAGTTCAAAAATTTAAGCAGCTTTCTCCTAAGATGTTTCAATAAAAACTATCACCTGCACTTTCAACAGTGTTCTCTGACTTTCTAGCAACCCTGAAGTCATTCTCTATTTACAGGACTAGTAATTATTTTTAAACATTTCTTAAATCTGAATACAAGCTATCTCACAAATAGCATTTTGAGTGGTTGTTTTTATTTCTGTATTTAATGTATAGGAGCCTTAATGTGCTAGTTTTCTGGGGACTGGAAAATTGAGACTTTTTCCAACTTAAGAGAAATAAGGTTTAGAAATTAAACTATTTATTAGTGTTTGTTTACTATATGGCAAAGGTAAAGGAAATTAGAACCTGGCAAATCAGAGAAACATGCTCTGGATGAATTAAAGAAGGACACCTGGAATCAAAAGGAGGAAAAAAACCTTCCAAACATGTTTCTTCCAAAGTTCCAACACCTGCCTTTCTGACGTAAGCATTAGTGATTAAGTAGCAACACTTTAACATCACTAAACAGTGAGAGGTACATGCAAATGAAAAAAAAATTTATATGCTGGTTTCCAACCCAGTACTAGAACTCTTAACCCATTTATTCAACAGTTACCACATTTAGCTTCTTTATTTTGTTCTTACAGTAAATCTTATTGAAACTACAATTTTGATCTCATAAAAAATCTCAGTATTGATTCTAGATTAAGCTATCTAAACATTTTTGCTAAGCCAGATTATTTCAACAAGCACTTGCTAATTCATTACTGTTAAGGTTCTGTGTCTAATCAATCTATTATTAAACTTCTTTTCTTCTGCCTGAAATTTGTAGATCTTACCCTCTTATCCGTAGAAGTACATGCTATTTAACCAAAGAGAACCAAGAAAATGTAACTTTCAGAGTGCTGACACAGAAGTGGTAATTGGTTCATGTATAACACAGCTGAGGTAAAATAACTAATTTCTAAAAATATAAAAATGATCAACAGGGTTGAATAAAACCAGTAAAAGTGGTATAAAATAAGTCTAGTAAGGAATTTCAGCTCCAAGCAATTTCTCCAGCTTAGTTCGTAAGAAAACCCAATAACCATACCACTGTACTTCCAATCATGCCATTTAGCTTTCTCACAGTTACTATGTGAGACTGTAATAATCATTATTATGTAAATGACAAATACACTGATTAGAGAACATTAAAATCTGCAAAAGGCAGAAACAAAGGTATCACTTGCTCAAATCTGGTTGAAGTAATAAGACATGAAACCAGACACTTCCTTAAGATTTTCTTTCTATGAGGATGCAATAGGGCAAATGCAATGACAAAATTGAAATACAAAGAATTCCAATACTCAAACAACCAATATTAACAAAAATATCAGAGTACCATTACTGAATACAAATTCTCAATTTGTCAACTCTATCACTTCATTCTTCCTCTCTATTCCTGACTCCTTTTCAGCATACTAAACCCTCAGCTGTCCAGGCAGGACAACTGTCAATGTTGTCAACTGGCAACAAATATAACTAAAAATCTCAATTTGGCGCCCCTCCCTTTTATTCAAGGTATTTATCTTATTCTAGATAAAAGGTGTTGTATGTTTTTCTTAACATTGGAAGACCAATAAACATTAAGAATATTAATGCAACAGAAGTAAAATATTATACAGTTGTCCCTCAGTATCCTTGGGGGACTGGTTCCAGGATCCCCATGGATACCAAAATCCACACATACTCAAATTTCAAAGTTGGTCCTGCAGAGCCCATGTATATGAAAAGCTGACCTTCCATATATGCAGGTTTTACATCCCATGAACACTGTATTTTCAATCTGAATTTGATGCAGAACCCACTAATACAAAGGACTGACTTTACTGACTTAACGGCCAATTGTATATTGCCACTGTCTATCTCATCAATTCCATTTTATTAACAGATACGATAAAGACTTTATAGTTTCAAAAGATGTACTTACCTATTAAAAAGCAAAACAGTGAGGTGAAGGATAACATCGTTACCACTGGACACTGTTGGCTTCATTGTCTGAATATATCTGAGGGCTTGTCTGTGCTCGCCCTGACTCATGAATGCCTGAATAATCTTTGAATGTTGCCATGACAAAGGTTTTGCAGTAGCTGGATGAAACAAAAGATCCAAACCACTCTGGAAATAACATGAAAAATGTTAAATATAAATATAATCCTATACATTTAGACAAAGTAGGTAAACCTAACACTAAAAACCACAAAAATCCAGATAAGACTCGTTTAAATATAAGCTGAAAAAATCTACTTTAATCTGTGCTATATAGAGTTGGCTCTCAGTATCTACAGGATCCATATCTGCAGACTGAACTAAGTGCAGATAGAAAACATTTGAAAAAATAAGGCTGGGCACGGTGGCTCACGCCTGTAATCTCCGCACTTTGGGAGGCCAAGACAAGCGGACTGCTTGAGCTCAGGAGTTCAAAACCAGCCTGGGCAACATGGCAAAACTCAAGTCTCTAAAACAAACAAAAGTAAGTTTAAACAAAAAAAGTGCAGTGGCTCATGCCTATAATCCCAGCACTTTGGGAGGCTGAGGTGGGCAGATCAGTTGAGGTCAGGAGTTCAAGACCAGCCTGGTCAACATGGTGAAACCTCGTCTCTACTAAAAATGTAAAAATTAGCCAGGTAGGGTGGTGCGTACCTATAGTCCCAGCTACTTGGGAGGTTGAGGCAGGAGAATTGCTTGAACCCAGGAGGCACAGGCTGCAGTGAGACAAGATCGTGCCACTGCACTCCAGCCTGGGTGACAGAGCGAGACTCCATCTCAAAATAAATAAATAAAAATAAAAAATAACAGTATAATGATAAAACATAATACAAATAAAAACAATACAGAATAAACTATTCACACAGCATTTACATTGTATTAGATGTTATAAGTAATCTACAGATGATTTAAAGATCAAGATCTAGAGATGACTTAAAATACCCAATGAAATGTAAATACCATGTAAATAATTGTTATAGTGTAACATCTAGGGAATAATGACAAGAAAAATGTCTGTACATGTTCAGTACAGACCCAATTTTTTCCCCTGAATATTTCTGATCTACAGTTGATTGAAGCCACGGATGTAGAATCCATGGACACAGAGGGCCGATGGTATACAAGAGGATGTGCATAGGGTATATGCAAATACTATGCCATTTTATATAAGAGACATGAGCCTCTGTAAATTTTGGTATGTTTCTGGATCCTGGAACCAATTCCACACAGATACTGAATGATAACTGTATTTTAAAGAATAAAAGCTTTATAAAAAACCTGATACCTCTAAGACCCTATCACACTATTTTATAAGATCTTCCCATCACCAATTTCATATATCAAGGCCAAATCTTGCCTTCCATGGTTCCCCCAACACCCCAAACATCTCTCTAATATTAACGATCACTGTATCTGAACTATCGTAATTACTTACTTATTAGTTTCCTTCTTTAAACAGTAAGAAACCTGGGGTTCTGAATTATCTTTATATTCTTGCCTTCTAAAATAGTGCTTGGTAAAGGTACTGATTAAACTGGGTCCTTCCTCAACTATTTTTAGTAGACTGTATCATATCTTTTAATACCAAATTTAAATTATGTGTATTTTCTAAAATTCTAGTAATTCATGAAAGTTTATGCTGTAAGTGAATAGACTTACCTCATAGTCATTATGATCTATCAACCAAAACCCCTGAATAAGTTTAACTTGGCCCCAAGAAATGGCAAATACAGTTGGGAAAGATTCAATGGGAGTGTCTGTTTTGTTGGGAAAGGAATACATAATATCAAGTAGCAAATAAATGGTCTTTTAAAAAGCGGATTAAGGACAATAAAATACAACAACAAAAACCTCCTACGTATATATTTACAATAGGTAGCAACAAAATGTAGCATTAAAAGAGACTTGAAATGCCTGTTTTTAGTGTTTAGAAAGCCATCATGGAGAGTCAGCAATGAGAAGATAGTTTTAGTAAATGTGGGTACAACCAGTCCCGCACCAACTTCATTCATTCTCAGTATTTTATTATCAGCACCACAAAGGAGATAAAGCGTATTTTTATGAAGTCAGTAGCTCAGTAAATACAAGAAACAAAGATATACGCAAATTTCTAAAGATCTAGCAAAAGATGGCAGCTTAATCAAACATCATCTAGCTTATAAATTATAAATGGAATTATACATTTTTAGACTAAGTAACTAACATTAGCACAAAAATATTATCACAAAGACTATAGGACTCAAATAATGCCTAAGGTAGTATCACGCTAACTTATAATGTATTCATTTCCAGCACAGAGGTTAATGCCATTGATAGTGACCACTTGGTGGTAGTATTTTAGAGCAACTGTTGTTAACTTTTTGAGTGTCTTGGACACATTTAAGTGTCTGATAAAAGCCAAGTACCCTATACCTAGAAAAACAAATAAAAAACAAAATTTTTCATATAGTTTTAGGTTGATCACAGGCCATCTGAGCCCAAACAACAGATCCTGGGTTAACACCTCTTCTTAAGAAAACAAAACCAAAATTCAACCTTGCAATTAGATATGTCAGGTTTCCACTACTCTTGAAATTTTATAATTTTAGTAATACATGAAACACTGGATAAAACTTAAAAGGATACAATAGAGTGTTTGGCTGCTTCAGTAACGCCGTCTAATAGGTACATATCAAGTACTGCCTATAAAACAAAGGGATAAAACCTTCAGTGGATCTTATACAGTCATTCATTCATTCATGCTTCTTGTTTTCCCAAGTTTGTGCCAGACACACAGCTAAGCATGTCTCCTCCCTCCCCAGCTTTGTAGACTCTAAATGATAGCACATTACTGCAAACCTACATGCAGACTAGCAGGAGGATATTTTCCTGTGCCTCCTTCATCTCGTTTCCACAACTTCTCAATTCGCTCTCCTAACTGAGAAACCAGTCCATCAATCATCAAGCAATCGGGATTCCACTTCCCTCTGCAATCAGGGAAAAATTAAGACTTATTTAATATCACTGTTAATTAATATCAAAGCAACCAGCATCAAAATATTAAAAGTAATAATCCCAACTATCAAAGAGAGAAGAGGCTGGGCATGGTGGCTTATGTCTGTAATCCCAGTGATTTGGGAGGCCAAGGCAGGAGGATCAACTCAAGGTCAGGAGTTCGAGACCAGCCTGGGCAATACAGCAAGACCCCAGTTCTAAAGAAAATATAAAAACTAGCTGGGCATGGTGGTGTGCACCTGTAGTCCTAGCCACTCAGGAGGATAAGGAAGGAGGATCGTTGGAGCCCAGGAGTTTAAAGTGAGCTATACACATGCCACTGCACTGCAGCCTGGGCAACAGAGACCCTGTCTCTAAAAACAGAGAGAGAGGAGAGAATTGGGAATTTGACCCTAGTTAGCATGATGAGAACTACAGACATCAAGGAGAGTTAGTCGGATAAGCCCTTAATTTGCCTCAAGTTCAGTCATCAACAAGCCAGTCAGTCAAGGTGAGGTCCCCATGTGGTCCATCCAGCCAGTGACCATTCTATTTTTCACCATATTAAGCAAACTACCATAAAGCCCAGCGTAGTGAAAATAATGAAGTTCAAAGACAGAGAGTTAAAGTTTCTGTTTCATCACTTGGGTTAGTCTTTTATCCTCAGTGATTCCTTCACTCGAATATCTATTGCTGAGTGCCTATGATGCAACGTGCAGGTATGGTCCCTATTTCCTTTTCTTTTCTCTTCTTTTTTCCCCTGATTTCCTTTTCTAATTGTGAATAGCGGCAGCACTTACTACTCTTTGCGGTTGTCCAATGAGCCAGGCACTGCACTAGATGTCCTGCACATACTATTTTATTTAGCTTTATACTGACTTTATAACTTATATAACAAGCAGGATTAGAAAGCATAACAAAGCTGCCAAGGATATACACTTAGGAAATAACAGATCTAGAATTTTAAAATATGCCTAGTCAATCTCCCAAGCTAATGTTCACTCTCCTAAATTGGTCATTCTAAAGCACTGGTTCCCACAATTGCCATGCATCAGAATTACAGCCGGCACAGATTTTAAAGTACTGATTCCCAGGTGATTCAGGTGTAAGAAACCTGGAATCAACGTTTGTGGCACTGCTCTAAATGTTATATGCTTTGTAATTTTGTCACTGCAACTCGAGGAAGACGACTATTTCCAGAAGTGTGGTCAAGACTCTCAACACCACTTTCTTTGTCTATTACCTTTACTTCATTTCAAAGGAACTAAGTAGGTTATTCGTGTACTTTTTTAAAAAAGAGAAATAAAATAGTAATGGTAATAGCAAATTCTGATACTTAACTGAGAATTCTACCCATTTAATCACTTTGTAAAACGATGAACACTATTCTGAGAAACTTTGACTTCTTACAGATGTAATTTCTAAAATTGTTTTACTATACCTTGATAAACGCTCAAACTTCTGTCGACGACTGGTGTAGTAGTTCTGAATTACAGGGTAGTTGTAGCATAACCTTGACAACTGCACAGAATCATCTAGATTTTTAAGAGTTGGAAAAAAAGCTGGTAATAATCCCCAAATATCTCAACAATACATATTAATATTTTACTGTAATTTAATATTTACAGCAACCCCTGGTTAACCCACAGGGTGGGTATATTTAGGTAATAAAAGATTACTACACATCTTTTTATTTACAGAGGCACAAGTGAGAAAATGATCTGTCATGAAAGTCTAACTACATGGATGGGGGCTTAAAATCCTGGAAACTGTTCTAAATAACTTTACTCCTTAGGCACAAATAATAATTTGAAAGCAAGAAATGTTCACTACAAATCAAAATCTAAGAGAATTATGAAAAAATAAGATCAACAATTATGTACAGTGGCAGAGGCACTTCTAAATAAAATCTAATGGCTTCCTGGAAATGCAAGAAGCTGAAGGCTTTGCAAGTTATATTCTAAACAAATATAGCACAAGTCAAATACCAAAAATTATCTTATTGTTGGTACTGGCATAAATCACTAGATAAAAGGGGGTATTTAATTGAAGAAATATTAGTCAGTAACCATATTAAAAGGACCATTACCAGGAAACAGGAAAACTGAGTTATAGAAACTATAGTTCTATGGATCTAAATAATAGCTAGTAATATTGCTGAACTCATTTTCAGGAGCTATGTTTTCTCAAATTTGCTTTCCTTCTAAATGTTATTCAATCCAATAAACATGTATGAGCACTGTGTGTCAGGCATAGGATGAAGATACAAAGTAAGGAAAAATGTAAGAAAAGAAGGTTAAGCATAAATTAAATTAAGGAGAAAAATAAGTGAGGTGGAAGAAAAGAAACCCAAAGCATTAGAATACAATAACAAAATTATAAAGATTCAGAATGTTTTAATTAATACTTATAGATTAAGTAAATATTTTACCTATGCCTTCTGGTAAAAGCCCAGAATGAGAGAACCAAAGAACCACTTGTGCATACTGACAGATGAGGTGGGAAACCACAAACTTATTGCTTAAGTCTATCAGTCCTGTAAAGAAGAGTTAACATCAGTTGTTTACTTACAAAAAAATCAAGATGCTCCACAGTTTTCAAAATTAATCACTTGGTAATTTACATAATTTGTAAATATATATTTTACATATACATATTTGTTCAAGATATATGTATCTCTCTTGAACTAATTCATCTTTGTATTTAGTTTACTTTGGTCCAAAATGATGTCAAGCAAACCTCCAAAATGCTAAAATAAGTAAGTCACTCCCTAAAATAGACATTTTAGGTAAATACACTTTCACCTCAGCTACACTTTCATTTAGCTAATTCCAGAACTCAGATTTACTCATTAATACAAACTAGCATAGTATCACTAATAAAGATTGTTCAAAACAGGCATTTAAATGAAATTGGCTTGTTTTTGTTTTGAAATTGCAAAACAGAAAAAATTTATGAGTTCTTTGAATAAAAAATACATATAACTTAATTTGAAACTTTACTGCAAATACATTAATCTTAATAATCATTAACTTCAGAATTTCCCAAGCTTATTTAAGCATGGGCTCATGGCATGTCTAACAACATTCTGTAGCTTTTCATTAAAACAAAGAAACAAACAAAAACCCTAGCACTGGAGAAATAAAGTCCTCTTTACATAATGATCCATCTAAGACATGGGAAATGTTATTCGTTTCTCTTAGTCAAGAAGTAAAATTTAATAAAACACTCATTTGATAAAACAAAGAGCGTACCTCTCTCAGTGATCTCTCGGGCTTCTGATGCAAAACAGCTCAAGACTATATTAAGATTGCTAAGAAGCAAATAGCATTGCTGGATAGACTGTATAGTTTGTGGATCCATGAAATGACACGAACCATCAAATAATGGCACACCTTTCAAGAATAAAAGAAAAGATAAGTTTCCATACAGTAAATCTAAATAAATTAGAATCACAATGCAAAATTTCTCAAACTCCTATCACTCAAAAGAATTATTCTATTCATTATGAGATTTATAAAGACAAGCTAGAAATGGCAAAACCTCCAAGGAACCTAAAAAGTGCTTTCAATATAAAACTAGCAAAAGCCAAGAGTGAGACTATGAACTCAAATCATCTATATCTAGAGCTTGTCCTCATAACCAGCACACATCAAAAGACAGGGATTTACTTTAATGACACATTTAGTTACATCAATATTTAATGTGTCACTGGTCTAGAAAACAACTGTCTTCATTCTAAAATCCTTCTTTAAATCAAATTCTAATTTGTTTTACTTTTTTTTTTTTTTTTTTTTTTTTTTTTTTGGAGACAGCATCTTGCTCTGTCGCCCAGGCTGGAGTGCAGTGGTGCAATCTCAATCTCCGCTCACTGCAACCTCTACCTCCCAGGTTCAAGGGATTCTCCTGCCTCAGGCTCCTGAGTAGCTGGGATTACAGGCATGTGCCACAACACCCAGCTAATTTTTGTATTTTTAGTAAAGATGAGGTTTCACCATGTTGGCCAGGCTGGCCTCGAACTCCTGACCTCAGGTGATCCGCCCGCCTCGGCCTCCCAAAGTCCTGGGATTACAGGCATGAGCCACTGTGCCCGACCTAATTTGCTTTACTTCTAATACTTTTTTTGAGATAGGGTCTCACTCTGTCACCTGGGCTGGAGTGCAATGGTACGATCACAGCTCACTGCACTCTCAAACTCCTGGGCTCAAGTGTTCCTCCTAGCTCAGCCTCCCAAGGAGCTGGGACTATAGGCATGTGCCACCCTGCCCAGCTAATTAAAAAAAAGATTTTTTTTTGGTTTTGCAGAGACGGGGGTCTTGCTATATTGCTCAGGCTGGTCTTGAACTCCTGGCCTCAAGCAATCCTCTCATCTCAGCCTCCTAAAGTACTGGGATTACAAGCCTGAGCCACCACACCTAATCTCTAATACTTTTAAAACACTTACTATGCTTTGTATGTTAATTATTCTTAGAGGTTTTTATTTTTATTTTTTAAAAAACCCAACCTACCAGTAACAAAGGTCAAAGCAGCAACAGCTGAACTACCAAGTTAAACCCCCAACACTACATTATTCTCAAAGAATAACAAAACTCAATTTATGAATTGAGTTTAATTTTTTACAAAACATGAGCTCTGACAAACATTTTCCTCTTAAAAAAATGAGGACATTTTTACTCTGATCCTAAACACCTGATAGTGTTCTTACAGACTTCAATCACACTGATTACTGAAACACTTAAATTATTTCATGACAACAGTTTCATAAGTATAGTCTAAAAACACTAGAAAGCGCCATGTCTTCCTAACGAACTTGATTGGTTTAAAAATCCTCTACTAAGAATAACTTAACTTACATTGTGAAAAGCTATCTATAGTCAAATCATTTCAAAAGTCCATTTGTTTACTCATCATGACACAAGAGAAATGACTAAAACATTTACCTCTAAATAAATTTTACTTTCACTTACAGTGCAACTGTATCCCTACTAGTACTTTTTAGCCTTATTTTTGCACTAACTGGACATGATAGTTTTTAATATTCATGACATACCTCAAGACTCAATCGAAATGAACAACAGATTAATAAAACTGTCAAGAAGGAAAATGATTTGCCACAATAATAACGACATCTATCCATGGAGGACAGCAGTGATGCATTTTTACCCTGCCATTCAACTTCATCATTTCTATCAATATGTTAAATAGAAAGTGAGTTAAGTACAGAAACTTCTGAGGGTTACCTAGCACATTCCGCTTACTCCATCATCAGTATATTTAGTAAATTAAACTCCTAAGACCAAAAGACAAGTTATAATCCTAAAACCTGCTATTGTAGGCATATCAGCATGTTGCCAGTTTAATGACCTGCTGCAAAATCTTGGTCAAAAATTACTTTTGGCTGGATGTAGTGGCTCACGCCTTGTAATACCAACACTTTGGAAGGCCCAGGCAGGAGGATCGCTTGAGGCCAGGAGTTCAAGACCAGCCTAGGCAATATAGTGAGACCATGTCTCTACAAAAAATACA
The DNA here is from genome assembly GCF_000001405.40 of Homo sapiens. NCBI lineage: Eukaryota > Metazoa > Chordata > Mammalia > Primates > Hominidae > Homo > Homo sapiens. Next base: position 246,894,051 of record NC_000001.11, read on the forward strand.
ACAATTAGCTGGGTGAGGCAGCATGTGCCTGTGGTCCAAGCTACTCAGGAGGCTGAGGCAGGAGGATGACTTGGGCTCAAAAAGTCAAGGCTGCACTGAGCCATGAACTCACCACTGTACTCCTGCCTGGGCAAAAAGTGAGACCATGTCTCAAAAAAAAAAATTACTTTTATCACTTTAATGTAAAAAGAAATAATTTTCTTTTGGGACATCTTCAAATTTTAAGAGTTTAAAACTTCAGGCCAGGCGCGGTGGCTCACGCCTGTAATCCCAGCACTCTGGGAGGCAGAGGCGGGCGGATCACAACGTCAGGAGATCGAGACCATCCTGGCTAACACGGTGAAACCCCGTCTCTACTAAAAAATACAAAAAAATTAGCCGAGCGTAGTGGCGGGCAGGAGAATGGCGTTTGAACCCGGGAGGTGGAGCCTGCAGTGAGCCAAGATCGCGCCACTGCACTATAGCCTGGCGACAGAGCAAGACTCAGTCTCAAAAAAAGAAAAGAGTTTACAACTTCAAAATGATTAAAAATTATGTACTTAAGACATAAACCAAGGTTAGTATTTTAATATTAAATTCTGTCCTACATCTAGACCTCTAATACTTACATAGTCTGTCAAATTCCTCTTTTGTGAGAACCACTTTATTCCACGTCCATTCAAGAACAAAGCGCAAATTAGTGGCAGAATTTGGTTGTTCTTATTTGTAAATACAAAAGGGAAAAAATAAAGATTATTAATTACAAACAGAGTTCTAAATTGTTGGTGGAGAAGCATGGCAGACAGCACCCTAACCGAGTGAACATCAACACTTCAGGGAGGCAACTTGGGAAAATGGACTTTCTCAGTGCACCACACCACGGAGCACGTCATTTCAGGTAATGCTGCCGCCAAAAATGCAAAAACTGTCATTTAATCATGAGGAGCGACGGCAAGCACAAACTAAAATGCAGTCTATAAAATAAGGCCTAATTCCTTTAAAAAAAAAAAGGTCAATTTTTTGAAAGACAAAGTGACAAAATGTACAAGATTAAGGGAAATTATAAAAACAATTACATACAAACTATTCTAGATCTCTTTTCCAAAAAACAAAATACAAAGCATGATTCTGAGCTCTCTCTACCCTCTAAATTGAAATAAAGGACATTACTGGGATTTCAATAAGGTCTCTAGGTTAGATAAAAGTCTTAATTTTCTTGATTTTTTATGATCACAAAGTGGTTTTGTAAGTGAATGTCCTTATTCTTAGAAGCAGCAATACTGAAATATTTATGGGCTACAAAAGCATGATGGCTTATCATCAAATGGTTCAGAAAAAAAACTATTCTCAAATGGTTCTGAACAGACAATATGCGTTTGGGGTGTGTGTGTGTATGTGTGTGAAGAGTAACAGTGATACACACAACAATTTGGATGAATTCCTAGAGAATTTTGCTGAGTAAAAAAGGTAATCCAAAAAGGTTACATACTGCATAATTCCATTTATGAACATGTTTAAAATGACAAAATTCTTGCCAGGGGTTAAGGATGGGGCAGAAAGAAGGTAGGTATGGCTGTAACGGCAGCATGAGGGATCCTGGTGGTGCTGACTGTACTAAAGGTTTGTCAGATCATCATACTGTGGGCAAACGTGCTAAAGGGGGTGGGATCTCTCTATTGCATCTTAACAACTGCATGTGGATCTTCAATTATATCAAAATTAAAATAACTAAGAAAAAAATATAACAAATAGCAAGTTGATAACTTTAAAAATACCAAACATTTTACTTGTTATCAGAATCTTACCTTCTGTTATCCATCTTCGGATATAACCAGTCAAAAGTCCCAGGGAACTAGTCTGAATTGCTGCTGACAATATAGCTTCTAACTGTTCTTCCTAAACCATGCATTACAGAAAGGAAAGAAATGGAAAGAAAGAGGGTGTGAGATCATAGGCAAGTTCTGGTTTAGAATTTAAAAATTTTAAGGCTAAAAAAATCAGTATGACCCATAAGAAGGGCTATAATCAAAAGACAATAACAAGCATGGTAAGGACGTGTTAAAACTGGAACTCTCATACACTGCTGGTGGGAATGTAAAATGGAACAGCCACTCTGCAAAGCAGTTTGGCGGTTTCTCAGTATGCTAAACATAGACTTACCACACGACCCTCCAATTCCACACCTAGGTATATACCAAAAAGAAACAAAAATACACGCCCAAACAAAAATTTCACATGAAGGTTCACAGCACCATTATTAATAGCCATAAAGTGGAAACAACACAAATGCCCATTAATTGTAGATAAACAAATTATGGTATGCTCATACAACAGAATATTATACAGCCATAAAAGGGGATGAAGTACTGATACTTGCTATAATACAGATGAACCTTGAAAACATGCTAAATGAGACAGTCACAAAAGACTTCATATTATTTGACCCATTTATATGAAATGTCTAGAATAGGTCAATCTATAAAGACAGGAAAGTAGATTAGTCATTATGTAAGGCTGGGTAGGATGGGGCAGGCAGGAAGGTAAGGGAAAAGGAGTGACTGTTTATGGGCATAGAACTTTCTTTAGAAGTAATAAAAATGTCCTAAAATGGAATGTGATGACAGTTGCAGAATTCTGTGAATTAAAATCACTGAACTGTACACTTGAAATATCTGAACTGCACGGTGTATGAAATATCTCAATAAAGCTGATATTTTGAAAATCACTGAGTCTGGTTTAATATCACAGGAACCTATTAATTTCATTCATTACAGGAGCAAATTAAAAGATGTTCAAAAAGGAATCCCATGAATGTAAGTTGAACAGGCACAGAGGGAATTACATAATGGTCCACAAAACCTAAGAAGGCATGACTCTAAACGGAGACTCACTGAAGCCATTTATATTTAATACCAGGGACAAAACAGAAACGTCTGCTACTAACATTATTACCTATAGTTTATAGAAGTTCTACCACATTGCAATGAGAAAACTCAGTAACTGGCCAGGCACAGTGGCTCACACCTGTAATCCCAGCACTTTGGGAGGCCGAGGAGGGCAGATCACTTGAGGTCAGGAGTTTGAGACCAGCCTGGCCAACATGGTGTAACTCTGTCTCTACTAAAAATAAAAAATTAGCCGGGTGTGGTGGCACACGCCTCTAGTTCCAGCTACTCAGGAGGCTGAGGCAGGAGAATCACCTGAACCCAGGAGGTTGGAGGTTGCAGTGAGCCAAGATCACGTCACTGCACTCCAGTCTGGGCAACAGACCGAGATGCTGTCTCAAAAAAAATAAAGGTAGTAACAAACAAATAAACGAAAAAAGTCTATTATTTGCTGATGGTTGCACACCTTGAAAGTTATGTAGATATCAAATAAATATACAAAAATGAATTGCATTTTTCCATATAGCCATGTGTTGCTTAATGATGGGGATACATTCCGATGAATGTTTCGTTAGGTGTTTCATTGTTGTGCAATCATGGTAAGAGCGTACTTACACAAACTTAGATGGTGTAGTCAACTACATATCAAGGCTATGTATATTGCTCCTAAGCTACAAACCTGTATAGCATGTTACTGTGCTGAATACTGTAAGCAACTGTAACACAATATGAAGTATACGTGTATTTAAACACAGAAAAGGTACAGTAAAAATACATTATTACAGGCTGGGCAAGGTGGCTCATGCCTGTAATTTCAGCACTTTGGGATGCCAAGGTGGGAGGGTAACTTGAGGCCTGGTGTTTAAGACCAGCCTAGGCAACATAGCGAGACCCTGTCTCTACCAAAAAAAAAAAGGGCTAAGCATAGTTGTGCCTGTCTGTAGTCCTAGCTACTTGCGGGGGCTGGGGTGGGAAGATCGCTTAAGCCCAAGAGGTTGAGGCTACAGTGAGCCATGACCATGCCACTGCATTCCAGCCTGAGGCAGCCATGAGGTGTTTCCTGTCCTGTATCCTTCTATACAGCTAAGTCAACCTGCTGCCAAGTTATGGCCTATTGGGTATTAGGAATAGGAATTTTAAACCAAACCTAAGACCACAACTGCTGATCACCCAGAGTCAGCATTACACTACTTCACCTATTTTTGCAGAAATTATCTAATACATTTTTACTGTAATAGAAAGCTAATAACGTGATCCAACCAAAAGAAACAATAGAGTTAAAAATCATCTCACTTGGCTTAAACTGGAAGGCTGAACATCAACAAATCTTGGGGAAAGAAGGCCAGCTACAAGACATCGATTATAACCATCAGGAATGAGTTCATTGAGTGATGGACCTGATTTCTTTAAAAAAGTCAAAGTCTGTAACAGATAAATTAGTAAGGCATCAATCAATGCTCAATTTGAATAATCAAATTTAAGATTAATTAATTACACTTAAAATTTAAGTAAAATTTAAAGATAGCAAGTGGAAATTATGAAAGACTATATTTCCTGCAAGAAACAGAGTTTATAGGTTCTTAAGCTTAACCAATGCTTGCTAGTTGTGAATACTACTATTAGCAAAAGGTAGCTTATATATTTTTATGAACTGTATAACCCTGCTGTCTTCTCTAAAGCTGACAGATTTGGTGACATCTTGACAAAACACACACACACACACACACACACACACACACACACACACACAGGAAAACTCCTGCAGTCTACTCCTCTTTATCTAATGTGAAAGAGATTTGATATTAAGTATAAATACAGCATTCATCCACATCTGGACGATTATCAATGAAAAGGTCTGCCACATCATACTTCCCTAGAAAAGCATTTTTCAGGCCAGGCACGGTGGCTCACGCTCATAATCCCAACACTTCGGGAGGCCGAGGCAGGCGGATCATCTGAGGTCAGGAGTTCGAGACCAGCCTGGCCAACATGGTGAAACCCCATCTCTACTAAAAATACAAAATATTAGCCGGGCGTGGTGGTGAGCACCTGTAATCCTAGCTATTCAGGTGGCGGAGGCAGAAGAATCACTTGAACCTGGGTGGCAGAGGTTGCAATGAGCCGAGATGGTGTCACTGCACCCCAGCCTGCGCAACAAGAGCGAAACTCCGTCTCAAAAAGAGAAAAGTATTTTTCAAAATTCTTTTTTTTTTTCCTGTGCCAGGCACTATACCACTGTGCTAGGTGCCTTCTTTGCATTACTTCATTTCCTCATAAGCTTTCTGAGGAGACAGAAAGCTTGAGGTTCACGTAGCTAGCATCTACATAAATTAGTTGCTAAAAACATACAATACGTCTTCCGGCAGGCTGTCATTAGTAACTGATACTACTAGTTGATAATCTCATAAACCTAGCAGAAGCTACCATTTAAGCTGAAACAACTGTCAATATCACTAAGTAAAACTTAAATCCATAAATCAACTATATTCTAAGATCTGACTTCAGTTCAATTAAGAAATCACTAGTTGTTACCTACCTCCTTCTGAAAGCCAGTACAAGTTAAATGAACAACTCCCGAGTTTAACAAACAAGTGGCATCTAAAAAAAAGATTTAAAAAATAATCCACTTACATATATTTAAAATGGCATTAATAGAACAAAATTTATCCAATAACAGACTGCAAGGCAAGGTGTCAAATTATTACATGTAATAAATCTTTAAATAAACTTTTCTAGGTATTTTCATCCTAAGAATAGATAACAAACCTATTACACAGCAAAACAAGAAAAAAGCAAAAAACAAAACCCAAAAAACTCCAAGCACAGCTGAGAAACACAGCAAAAAAAATAAAAGCTACTATAAAATGCACCAGATGTGAAACAGTTAATATCTTTCCTAGCAAGTTCAAAATAAGTCATAATTCCTTTATAAAACATATAAATACTAAATATCTCCAAGTCATAATTCCTTTATAAAACATATAAATACTAAGTTTCTTGTGTGTATATATTAATTTCCTAAGTTATCCATATGTTAACTAACAGTGAGATACAAACAGATAACACTAAATGAATAAACTACACAACGTATACATTTACATACTTTTGTGCATTACTTTTCTTAAGAGGTAATGTTAAGGAAATACATACCAAAATTATAAGTGCTTGGATTAAAAAACTGCTCGGGAGGTGGATATGAAGGAGGGACTCCTCTATTTAAACTTCTCTCATGTACTAATATATCCAAGATGCCATGTGGAGAAGTCCTACTTACAACAGACTCCAATGACCACAGTGCAAAATAAGAGCAATTATGTAGATATTCTCCTGACCTAAAAGAAAATTTAAAACATTACTAAGTCATTGGTCAGCTACACATACAAATACAAAGAGAAAGGAGAGAGAAAAAAAAAGAATCATACCTTAACGAATCTGGCATTTGTGCATGATACCAACGATTTATATCAAAAAGCCCCAAATATACAGAAGGCTTTCCCTGTCCATATATATTCACCTGCCAGGTAAAGACTGAAACACTAGTGTCAGGCGATAGAGCTGGAAGAAAAAGATAATTTTTAAAAACAGAATAAAGAATCTCAAAGTAAAATCACCTCAACAGAATTATAGCAAGATTTTCTCATAAATTAAGCGGTTTAATTCATATTTCACTTGATTCATCAAAACGCATTTCTATCATTTGTATGTAAGACCAGATTCATTCACTTGCATTTTGACTGTTTCTCAATTTTAAGGCCTTATTAAAAAGTAGTCACTCATCAGAAGTTATATCCTTGCTTGTTTTCAGTTAATACTTGAGCAACGTTGAGGTATTAGAGGCAGAAAGTACAAAATGATTTGAATGAACAGTCTCTCTCGCAAGGACGGTACGGAGCTAGTACTAGAGAAGTTAATTCACTACCTAAAACGGATGCTTTTGGGCATTAAGGCTTTATTATGATGAACCTTAGCTGAGAAGGACTTATCCAGTTATAAGGTAAAGAGAGAAAAAGAAAAGTGCTTGGATGGTGCCTGTGGAATGGAAAGACAGGAATAGAGTAAGAGACATCAACAGGAGAAGAAGAAAGTAAAAATCTGAAACACTACTATAAGGAAATAGGAAGAATGGGGAATAAGAGAGAGCATGGCCAGGTGCAGTGGCTCACACTTGTAATCCCAGCACTTTGGAAGGCCAGGTGGGCAGATCAATTGAGCCCAGAAATTCGAGACCAGCCCAGGCAACACAGCAAAAACCTCATCTCTACAAAAAAATACAAAAATTAGCCGGGCATTGTGGCATGCACCTGTAGTCCCAGCTACTCAGGAGGCTGAGGTGGGAGGATCGCTTGAACCTGGGAAGCAGAGGTTGCAGTGAGACGAGATCGTGCAAGTGCACTCCAGCCTGGGCGACAGTGAGACCCTGTCTCTAAAAAAACAAAAACAGGCCAGGTGCGGTGGCTCACGCCTGTAATCCCAGCACTTGGGGAGGCCGAGGCGGGTGGATCATGAGGTCAGGAGATGGCTAACACGGTGAAACCCTGTCTCTACTAAATATACAAAAAATTAGCTGGGCATGGTGGCGGGTGCTTGTAGCCCCAGCTACTTAGGGGGCTGAAGCAGGAGAATGGCATGAACCCCGGAGGCGGAGCTTGCAGTGAGCTGAGATCGTGCAACTGCACTGGACAGAGCGAGACTCCATCTCAAAAAAACAAAACAAAAAAAAACAAAACACCCTGTCACTACAAAAAATACAAAAATTAGCCAGGTGTGGTGGTGTGTGCCGGCAGTCCCAGTTACTTGGGAGACCGAGATGGGAGAATTGGTTGAGCCCAGAAGGTCAAGGCTGCAACCAGCCAAGATCATGCCACCACACTCTGGCCTGGACTGGCCTGGGCATCAGAGTGAGACCCCTGTCTCTAAATAAATAAACAAATAAAAACTTTAAAAAGACGTGAGCTCATGACAACATGTGCTTTTCACATATTTAACTGGATCTGAAACCTGGATCAGAAATACAGATACAGGCCCTAGCAAAAAGGGCATTTCTGGGATGGGTAAGTTCGCTGTGTGATTTAATCCTCACAACTACCCTTTGCAAAAGGTCTAACTAGGATCCCACTTACAGATGGAGAAACAGAGCTCTGAAATGTTAAGCAATTTGTCAAAGGTCATCACTAGTGATAGGGCTGGATTACGATAATCTTGGCTTAAAAAACCGATGCAAAAAAAACTGCCAGGAAAAAGCGATGACACTAAAGAAGACAGAGAAAACATTCAAGACAACCAAGGCATGTATGCCATACATGGCTCAAAAAATACACGGGTAAACTTCATTCAAAGACTACTCACACTAGTTCAGACTAGGGATCGCCTGTTTTGAGAACTAGATTAAAATAAAAGGGTCCTTCATTACCCTAATCTATTTTATTGTTTAGTTATACATAGCAATCTGGAGAGCAAGAAATATCTAGTATCTCATATAGAACTGAATAAATTCCGTTAATTACTATTCCAATTTTCTGAACTGCCAGGAGTATGAAATCTAGAAAATAACACCTGTCATAAATTTTAAATCCAGCCTTCACATGACATATTTCAAGTACTTTAACTAACCTTCATTCACGCCTTCCTCCCTGTCACCATGAGATCGAAATTTCTCTATACTCTGGCATCCCAACAATTTGGTATTACTCGTCTGTCCCCTCAAAGGGAACATGCCACCTGTCAGGTCCAGGGTGTATCTTTCTTCACAGTATTCTAACCCCTGTAACATAAAATACACGCAAATATTAATCTGATTCTAGGCAAAAAGTCACTCTAAAATTAAATATTCTCCAAATTTAAAGATTGTTCACACAATACAAAGAAAACAATTTAGACTGAAGAGAACCAATCATGGAAAAAGGCTCTAAAATTTTACATACTTTAAAACAAATAAAAAGTGAGATTTAGTCTCTCAAAAATAATTACCAACAAGTCTTCTAAAGTTATTTAACACAGAAGCCCTCATGCACTACTGGTTGGTATGTAAACTGGAATAACCATCAAAATTATATATGCATATATCTCAGACCAGCAATACTATACCTGTGTTCTCACAGAAATTCTTGCTCTAGAATAGTTCTTAGACTTTTAGCTTATTGATACCTTTAAGAATCTGACAAAAGGCTATGAGACTTCGCCCATAAAAATGCAACACATAATTCAGGGCCTTTACTGATTCCCTGAAACCCGTTTCTATACGCCTCCAACATTAGGTTCAGAAAAGTCGGTTCTAGAGACAGGTATGTGAGGGTGAACAAAATACAGCTATTAGCAGCACCCCTCCGATCTCCTCAGGAATTCAGCCAGATAAATAGGCAGCCATCTAAAAGCCCAGACGCGTATGTCCTCTTATAAAAATCACCCTATGGCTTAATGCTTGATATGTTAGAGCAACAAAGTGGAATTATTTTTCCTGGGTACCAATTAAGCCACAAGCTTGAATCTAGTCCAGTCCCCTCATTGTAGAGGAAAACGGTATCTGAGAAGTTAAGAATGCTACCTGGGTAAATAGGTAAAACAGATCTCTAATTTAAATTACTTCTACTACATTATGAATACAATATTAACTTCAATATAAGAATCGCTTTTCACAGCCAGGTGCGGTGGCTCACACCTGTAATCCCAGCACTTTGGGAGTTCGAGGTGGGTGGATCACGAGGTCAGGAGTTCAAGACCAGCCTGGCCAAGATGGTGAGACCCCCCCCCCTCCGTCTCTGCTAAATATACAAAAAAATTAGCCAGGCGTGGTGGCGGGCACCTGTAATCCCAGCTACTCCAGAGGCTGAGGCAGAGAATTGCTTGAATCCGGGTGGCGGAGGTTGCAGTGAGCCAAGATTGCACCACTGCACTCCAGCCTGGGCGACAGAGCGAGACTCTGTCTCAAAAAAAAAAAAAAAAAGAATCACTTTTCAATATCTTAAAACAAAGACAACATATTTAAAATAGAAAACAACAAAATGGTAATATAAACCCATAGTCCAATGACCATTTACCTCATATAAGATTTGTCCTGATGCCAAACACTTTCTATTACCAAAGGCCAGCTGCAGCAGATGCAAACTCAAAACATCCCCTTCACTGAAACAGAAATTAACGAAGACACGCTAAATATATTAATACATTAAACATCTCTTACTGTCCAAGTAAGTTTAGTTTGCTTGCAATGTTGAGTGCATGTGACAAAACTAAAATCACTGTGAAAAATTTAGTTTTCGGTAATTTTTATAAAAATGTAGTCCTTTGAAATAATAATTGATATTTATTATTGATTCTAATCAACTAAATCGATGCTGTTTGCATACTGTAGGAGATATCTTATGTAGCAAAGACTGATTACTCAATATTCTTTCTCAAATATTCCTTCCTCAATGGTTATACTCTACTTAAACACATGGTTGCCTAAAGTTCTATAACATCTCCCAGCTTCCTTTGCAGCTAAGTGCAGTACCCTGTGGTAAAGTTGTGGCCAGGATGTAAACAGAATTATCCCATAGTAACCTCACAGAACCTTCCTTAATAAACAAAATATCCTTTATGCCTTCATCCTGGTCTCTTCCTCCATCTTGCTATTTTTACTTAAAATGTAGAGGTTCAAAGGACAATGGGGAGTATGGGAAGGAGAACGGGCAGTTGGGGGAAGGGTGGGGAAAAAATTTTTTTAAAATATGGATGTTGCCCTCGACCATGAGAGGCCTATCAAGACACAAAGTGAAGATACTAAATCAACCCTGTAGTGAACTCAAGCACGAAGCATGCAGTAAGTGTTAAGAGCATAGATTCCAGAGCCACATCATCTGAATCTGAATTTTACTACTAGTTGATCCCTTTTAATAATTCCTATTACTAGTTCTTATTTCTTTTACTTGGCTTCTAACACACCACACCTTCCTAATATTCCTCATACCACACTATTCACTCCTTAGTCCTTTGCTGAGTACCCACCCAGCTCTCTTGTTCTCAATCTCCAAGTATATTTGAAGAATAAGAGAGCAGGGTACTGAGATTGAGAACAAGAGAGCAGGGTACTTAGAAGGTTCCAAGGCTCTCAATCTGTGAAAAACATTCAAGTAAGTCCGCACAATTTCTTCTGATAACTCAGAATTATTCAAGCATGTAGAAACAACCATTTAACTTTTAAAATAATTTCAACTACTACTCACTAATTCACTGAAAGAATTGTGTTGCCTTCACTAAAAAAGACTACATAACTACATAGACTACCTGTTCTATTTTTGACTAATTTTTAAAGATTGTATGTATCAGGCCAGTCGTGGTGACTCACACCTGTAATCCCAGCACTTTGGGAGGCTGAGGCGGGCAGATCATGAGGTCAGGAGTTCAAGACCAGCCTGGCCAACATGGTGAAACCCCGTCTCTACTGAAAATATAAAAATTAGCCAGGCATGGTGACAGGCACCTGTAGTCCCAGCTACTCGGGAGGCTGAGCGAGAGAATGGCATGAATCCGGGAGGCGGAGGTTGCAGTGAGCCGAAATCACGCCACTGCACTCCAGCCTGGACAACAGAGCGAGACTCTGTCTCCAAAAAAACAAAACAAAACAAAACAAAGTTTGTATGAGACCTACCTATCTTGTGTAGACTGAACAGCCCACAAGTAACAGCAATTCCGAGGATCATTCTCAGGTTCTTGAAAAGTGACAGCATATACAGGAACTTGTCCACTTTCCAATTGTATGTAATATCTGAAACAAATTAGTATATTTCATATTTTTAAGTTATTTTTTAGAAAGGAAAAAGGTACATCATGTAAGAACTTGGGTTAGGCAACCACTGTTCCTACACTTCCCCAGAATAAGTGATCTGTGGGCCATGGCCAAGTCATCTTATCTGCAAAAATACACACGGCACAAGACATCAAGACTATGGTCATGGCACCCATCCCCCAGAGACAGAACTGGGAAGACTCAGATGCAGTCAAGCGGATGCATTTATGTGTGCGTGTAACTGGTCCTAAGAGTCATATTCAATGCCCAAGAGGTAGAACTGGGGAGTGTTAGAATTACTCAAGTGGATGCATTCATGTCTGTGTAAACTGGTCCTAAGAGTCATATTTGATGTACACTCCTACATACTGCTCAACCATAAAAGATGCCCTACAAAGAGACGAGATACTGCCACGAGACTTTTCAGCTGTTTGGGTTTAGCATCAGTTTCCCCACTACTACAACAGAAGATGAGTTAGAAACTGAAGAGTTCCCATAAACTGCTAAAAAAGCAAAAATTGACCAAGAGATGATAGTGTTAGAGAAAGCACTGCTGTAGAAGCCAGGTACTGCAGGTATTTCTTTAGGAGCAAATTCAAAGACGAGCTGACAAACTGGCAGCCGGGCGTGGTAGCTCACACCTGTAATCCCAGCACTTTGGGAGACTGAGGCAGGTGGATCACAAGGTCAGGAGTTCGAGACCAGTCTGACCAACAAGGTGAAAATCCGTCTCTAAAAAAAAAAAATACAAAAACTAGCTGGGTTCAGTGGTGCACACATGTAATCCCAGCTACTTGGGAGGCTGAGGCAGGAGAATCACTTGAACTTGGGAAGTGGAGGTTGCAGTGAGCCAAGATCGTGCCACTGCACTCCAGCCTGGGCAACAGAGTGAGACCCCACCCCCCAAAAAAATAGAAAAAAAAGAGCTGATAAAAGGATAACAGCAAAGAGAGTTGAGATACACTTCCTATAAGATAAATTACTCAATAAAATATACCAGTATGCCTCAGGAAAAATGGAGAAACAAATAAATTGACAACTTAAGGGCCAAATAGGCATCTATTTAACGCTTAACACAAATTAACTTAGCTACAAAGTATCAATATAATTATATTTTGGGGACTTTTTGACAGCAGAAAAAATTTAAAACACAAGTATTTTGTAACTTTGATTTTTAAAAATCCTTTTTTTTCCCTCTCAACTGAGAATTCTTTATTAAGCTGTTACTTTACACAGATGATGATTAGGAAGGTACTTCTGAAAGAACTCATATTATACAAACACAGCCATGTGTCACTTAACAAAAGGGGATCTGTTCTGAGAAATGCTCGTCAGGGATTCAGTCATTGTGCAAACATCATACAGTCTAGTAACACAAACCTAGATGAGATAGCCTACTATATACCTAGGCTAGATGGTATAGCCTGTTGCTCTTAGTCTACTAACCTGTACAGCATGTTACTGTATGGAATACTGCAGGCAACTATAACACAATGGTATCTTAAACATTAAAAAGGTACAATCAAAATACAGTAAAATTTTATGAGACCCCTTTCTTACATAAGGACTGTTGTTGACCAAAACGTTGTAAAGTTACAAAGTCATGCTTTACTAGCATGTTAAACACATGACTGTAATGCCTTTTAAATAAACACTGAAAAAAAATAAAGCTAAATTCATGTGCTAAGTCACTCCTTTATGGTATTCACATTGATTTAATGCCATGAAAAATTAGTCATCTCAATCATTCATTCAATCATTAATCTACCCACCCTTTTCTCACTATGCTAACTTTCAAATATTAGTAAATGAGTACAAGCTATATGCAAAAAAACTACCTATAATCAAATAAGGGAAAAAAGTTATACTTACTCTCTTTTCATGCTTTTCATGTTCCAAAGTGCTAGATAGCCATCAGAAAAACCTACAGCAAGCTGATTTGTCCTGCTTATGTAACTAAGAGTTGAAACAGCTGTTCCTGTTGGACTTACTAACTGGAAACACAGATGGCGCCCTTGTCTCATTACACTTTCTCTAATGTGTGGTACTTCAGCTGGGATACCAGTTAGAACTTCAAGATCTAAAACCACAAATTAGACAAATGAAGTTAAAAAACTAGAAACAGCATTAAAAGCAAATATGTCATCCATTATTCAAGCTGCAAATGAAGTCAACTGAGTTAAATGAAGTTAATTGAAATTAAAAGATTAGTGATAACAAAAAAGTATGTTAAACTAGAAAATTGCCATCCTTATCTATTTAAATGCCACAATTTAAAAAACACATTCAATTATATAATATTTAAAAATTCTCTCAGTACATCTCAAATATTATCTAAGATAGAATTTTTTTAGGGTTAACAACCATAAATAAAACTGATTTATTTCTTTATTGAAATTTAGAACTACTACCTAAATACCTTCCTTGGAGCAATGGCTGATTCCGGGTCAGGGGGAAGAAAATACATAAAATGAGCCTGGTACATCTTATGCCAATAATCTAGGAAGCTATCACAGATGAAAGGGAATGTATCAGACAACATGAAGGGGCTCTCATTACCAATGACAGGACATTTTGGGCATCAAAAACAATAAAATTAATGAAACACATTAAATATGCCAAACCTGAAAAATTCACAGGGATACAAAAAAAAAAAAAAAAGAGGGGTGGGGCAAGGGGGAAGCCTACCCTCCCCACCTACAAAAGACCTTATATTGAACAATTGGAGTAACTAGGTATCACCTGCTTACTCTGAAAATTAGTACTTAAGAAACACTAAACATTTATCCTGCCTGTTCTGTAGACATTGTGTTTCAGAGTGACCAGAAAGCCCTAATTAATGAGAAAATTATTCTTTACATTGACAGAACATAAAAATCATCATTTTGCAGCCCTTAATGAAATAAGGGACTTATCCAAGAATCTTAGGCCGGGCACGGTGGCTCACGCCTGTAATCTCAGCACTTTGGAAGGCCAAGGTGGGCGGATCACAAGGTCAGGAGATTGAGACCATCCTGGCTAACACGGTGAAACCCAGTCTCTACTAAAAAAAAAAAAAAAAAAAAAATTAGCCGGGCATGGCGGCGTGCGCCTGTAGTCCCAGCTGCTGGGGAGGCTGAGGCAGGAGGAGAATGGTGTGAATCCGGGAGGCAGAGCTTGCCGTGAGCCAAGATTGAGCCACTGCACCCCAGCCTGGGTGACAGAGCAAGACTCCGTCTCAAAAGAAAAAAAAAAAAAAGAATCTTAATGAATGAAACAATTAGCTCAAAGTAAGGTTTTATAATTTTGGCATTACAGTATTCCCTCTCATTATTTACAGTTTCACTCTCCAATTTCCGTTACCTGTAGTAAACCAAAGTCCAAAAATATTAAACAGATAATTCTATATCTATATATATCTATATCTATCTATCTATCTATCTATCTATCTATTTATATATATATAAAATTCAGCCAGGTGAGGTGGCTCATGCCTGTAATCCCAGCACTTTGGGAGGCTGAGGCAGGCAGATCATGAAGTCAGGAGTTCAAGACCAGCCTGACCAATATGGTGAAACCTCGGCTCTACTAAAAAAAAAAAAAAAAAAAATTGGCCGCACATGGTGGTGTGCAACTGTAGTCCCAGCTACTTGGGAGGCTGAGGCAGAAGAATCACCTGAACCCAGGAGGCAGAGGTTGCAGTGAGCCGAGATTGCGCCACTGCACTCCAGCCTCTCAAAAAAAAAAAAAAAAAAAAAAAAAAAAATTTGCATGCTGCTCTGAGTGGTATGATGAAATCTGCTACCATCAAAGGGACATAAATCATACCTTTGTCCAGTGTATCCACACTGTATAAGCCACCCTTAGTAGCCATCTTGGTTCTCAGATCAACTGTCGCAGTATTGCAGTGCTTGTGTTCAAGTAACCCTTATTTGACTTAACAGCCTCAAAGCACAAGAGTGGTCATGCTGGCAATTCAGATATGCCAAAGAGAAGCTGTAAAGTGCTTCCTTTAAATGAAGAGGTCAAAGTTCTTGATTTAATAAGGAAAAATCATAATGTGTGCAGGGTTCAGTACTAGCTGTGGTTTCGGCATCCACTGGGGTTCTTGGAATGTATCCCTCGCAGATAAGGGGGAACTACCCTGCAGAGGGCTATCCTGTACACTGTAGGACGCTAAGCCACATCATTAGTCTCTAACTACTAGTAGCAAGTAGCACCAGCAGTAACAATCAAAAATGTCTTCTAACATTGCCAAACATCTCCTGGAGGACAAAATTCACCCCCTGCTGAGAACCACTAGTTTAAAGTTGATGACAGACTTTAAAAAGGAAGGATCATGCTGTCACCATGTGAATCCACTGATCACTAATTGAAACTACTAGACACTATGTGTCTCCTGATGTGATACAATATGAAGTACTCAGCACTTCCAAACTACCTTGCCAAAATACTAAACCTTCATCTATAACCAGAGCTAATTTAATTTGCAGAAAATCGAAAATGATACCACATGAAAGCACAGTTAATTCCAAAATGTGGAACATTCTATCAGATAACTTCAGCAAGTCAATGGCACTAAAAATAAAAACAGAGAGGACAGAAAGAGGATTGCTGTACGTTCAAGGAGACTTGAGACTTAACTGTCAAATGCAATTAATGTGCAGACTGTATTTGAATTCCAATCCAAACAATCCAAATGTAAAAAGATGCTTTGGATAATCACATCAATTTGATTATAGTCTAGATAACACACTATACCAAAGAAGTGTTATTGGCATTATGATTATGTAATAAAATATCCCTATTTGCTTTAAACTAACACAGAAGAAAAGAGGGAAAGGAGGAAAGGGGAATGAACTAAACAGACACACATATAGCAAATGTTGAAAATTAACTTGAATTTGGGTGATGGGTTTATGGGAACTCTTGTATTCTTCTAACTATCTGAAGATGTCTGAAATCTTCAATAAAAAAATTTAAAAACTCAGACTCATATATTAATATAACCACTGTGCAAGAGCAGATTCTCTCATTGTTATAAAGGGGGAAAAATCATATCACACTGTCCTAGAACAGGGCCCCCACCCCCAAATCACTTCTGCTTCTGATGTCTTTTTCAGAGAAGAGATTAGATTTTGCCACAACAAACAGTTCACACAATGGGATACTACAAATTTACTCAAAAGAAATGGGTAAGCCCTATGTGTTCTGATGTGGAAAGATGTATAAGAAACCGGTTAAGTCTGGGGAAGCTGCAGAACAATATTTATGCTGTATGTTTGGAACTTCATTTCCTACCTTGGTGTATTTCAGTGAAGCCTAAACAGTTGTAATCATAAATTACTTTTGTAATCAATAAAATTTATTTTGCATTAAACCCTAAAGCTTAATTTTTTGTGCTATAAAGTCCAACTGCTTCCAATTCTCAAAATTGAGAAATGGTTCTGATCACAATCCAGAGACTTTCGTTATAAAATTATCCTTGTGCACCTACTGATTACTGACCTCTGAAATGAAGGATGTTTTAACGCCACCATATTGACTTGAAGGGAGTTTTAATTACGAATATAAGCATTTTAATTAGCCTTACACCTATAACCACAAAATACACTATGAAACAAAAGCCTATCAAGCCTACTTCTTTGATTAATGTTCCATAAAAAGCAGTCAAACTATTTCTGATAATCTATAAATTCATTTTTAGTTATTGCTTTTGCTCATCAATTCTTTTCATTTAAACTTCACATAAAAATTTTATTAATCAATCAGGTTTGTATACATACCAAATTTTAAGGTATAGTGTCTATCTATGAAGATTCTTTTTTTTTTTTTTTTTTTTTGAGATGGAGTTTCACTCTTGTTGCCCAGGCTGGAATGCAATGGCGCAATCTCGGCTCACTGCAGCCTCCACCTCCCAGGTTCAAGTGATTCTCCTGCCTCAGCCTCCTGAGTAGCTGGGATTAGAGGCATGCGCCACCACACCTGGCTAATTTTATATTTTTTAGTAGAGACGGGGTTTCTCCATGTTGGTCAGGCTGGTCTCAAACTCCCGACCTCAAGTGATCCACCCGCCTTGGCCTCCCAAAGTGCTGGGATTCCAGGCATGAGCCACGGCGCCCAGCTCTTCTATTAAGATATTTTAAAGTGCATGTATGACCATTATTTCTGCCAAATCAAATTTTTTCAGGTCTGATTTTGCATATTTAAGTTTTGTTCAGATGATTTTGGCTCTTCCATTTCTTGTTAAGTATAGTTTTTATCACTTGCAGTTTTTTTGTTTTTGTTTTCTTTGAGATGGATTCTTGCTCTGTCGCCCAGGCTGGAGTGCAGTGGCGTGATCTCGGTTCACTGCAGCCTCCCCTCCCGCTTCCACCACTGGCAGTTTTAATCGGTTTTTTTATACACTGACAATTTTTATTAGTTATGTTCATTATAAACTACATAAAATGTTGATAGTTTGTATCTATTTCTGAGCTGCTCCATAAATGAAAAGAGCTACACTGATATTCTAGGCTTGCTTTAAAAATCAAGAATGTGCCGGGTGTGGTGGCTCACACCTGTAATCCCAGCACTTGGGAGGCCAAGGCGGGCGGATCACAAGGTCAAGAGATCGAGACCATCCTGGCCAATATGGTGAAACCCCATCTCTACTAAAAAAAAAAAAATACAAAAATTAGCCAGGCATGGTGGCGTGTGCCTGTAATCTCAGCTACTCAGGAGGCTGAGGCAGGAGAATTGCTTGAACACGGGAGGCGGAGGTTGCAGTGAGCAGGGATTACGCCACTGCACTCCAGCCTGGCAACAGAGCGAGACGCCGTCTCCAAAAAAAAAAAACAAAACCAAGAACGTCCTCACAAAGCCAAAGTCAAAATTTTTTCGGGTCAAATACTCCTTTTCTAAAAATTAAGAGTAAAAAACACATTTTAAGGTTAGCTCTTCCTTTCTTCATAAACCAGAGACTCACAATTTTCAAAAACTGAAAGCACTTGGAAAAAAGTAATTTTATAAATACAAGCATTTAAAGGAGAAAAAGTATTTCATTTTCTTTGAATCTGAATAGAATTACTTCTATTTTAGGATGTTATTTTGTGAGAAAGACTTTTAGTTACTGTTATTTCCTAATATTTTATTTCTATCTTGGTGTTACCACACAAACATAAACAATATGCCAAGAACACTATGTTAGATCCTACATTGCTGGGTAATTTCATATTGGCTGATAAGGCTCAAGATTTCTTATATTTAGCCCTTATTCCAGCATTTACTTAAGAATAGATCTTATTCAGGTATGTAAATGAAAACAAATAAAATCAATTATCACTACCTTTCTCAAGGCCTACTTGAGAACATATGAACACCTGATCAACAAAACAGTATCTTATGCAAGAAGTATCCACTGTGCTCAGGTCCAGACAATAAAAAAGATTTTAAAATACCTTTTTTTTTTTTATAGATAGGAAGATATCTTTTATTTTACTCCAGCTGCTATAAAAAAATTTGGCTACTTTAAAAAATATTGCATCAGAATATCCAGGTGCTCCATTTTTGGTTTCAAGTAAAGAACTGATTACCTGATGCTTCAACTTCATTTTGATTGCATGACAAGTCATCCAAACATAGGTCAACAAGAAGGATCTGTCCAACATCAGTGACCACAGCTGCCACTCCAAAAAGCCATCGCAGACTTGGATGTAAATGCTGAGTGCTTGCACTGGCTCCTCCATGATTAATTATAGGTTCAATAGCTGTTACCTAGAAAACATAATACGTGATTTGCTTTTCTTCTGCAAAGTAAGAAAATATAATTAACACAATAAATTTAAGTTAAAGCAGGTTATCAGTTATAATAGATTTAAGACTATAGAGTAAATTTGCATTTGATACTTGTGATCTGAATAATGAAATCTTCAGCTATACTAGGAATTACACCATTACTCAATACATAGAAAAATCACGCAGTTGGACTAACAATTGATGTTGACTGAGAGCTTACTGATACGCCAGGCATTGTGTTACCTGGCTCATTCAATGTTCATGACAATGCTTTGATAGTAGACTATGTGTGAGTACTTCTCTTTAAAGATGAAATAACCTGAGGCTTAGAAAGTCAGTCTAGTTATTCAAGCCATAAAATCATTACGCATAAAACGCAAACCTAAATTGTTCTCATTTTAAAGCTCTTAAACAGCTACTCTAGGATTCTATGGCCTCTTCTCCTAAGAGTAAAAACTAATCATTCCAGAAAAATTTACTGTTTACTCTTTAAAAAACAACAAAAAAGATATTTTAAGTCCTCTTTATACCTTAAAGACTGAAGAGGTCTAACCTTCTTTCTATTGGACTTCATATAAAGCTCTGGCAGTCACTGGATCACTGACACTTAACAAGAATTGCTATTATTTAAAGAAAAGTATACTTTAGCTATTTTATGGAGTCATATTTTTCCCCTTCATCTCATGAGTCAAATTTTAAATGTCTATAACTAGTCATCCATATTTTATACTTGTCTTTCCTTCAGTTTCCTATTAATTCATAAAAATTAATTAGGTATGATATATGATAAAATGTTTGGTGATTTCTACGCTAATACAGGTTGAACATCCAAATCCAAAAGTCCAAAATCTAAAACACTTCTAGTCCCAGGCATTTTGGACAGGGGATTCTCAACCTGTACTGATGAATGTTCTGGCAAGAAAAGAAAATATCTGATATCAATGATTCATGTGTTAAAAAGACTAAAAGTTGTTTCAGGCTGTAACTTACTACAGACAAAAGCCTGGCTCTTTCTCTATATCAGTATACAAAACATTACTCAGTGTTTCTAATTCTGAAAGCTGTAACTTCATCACTTTTTCTTTTCTAATTACTGTAATAATGTCTATAAATACTAAAGCATATTCAATTCCTCAGTGAGGAGTAGCGAATCTAAGTTTACATTCCTCATAAAAATACTATATGAAGTGATTAATACTATTACCTTAATTTTAGAAGACAAAAATAAACATAATGAGTGTATACTGCACCCTACCCAAAAAACAGCTAGTAGGTTGAACTTTTGAAAGTGTCTATCGCTACTCCCCCATCTTTTCCTTATTCTATATTCTCTCTTCCATACACCAACCATGCATTCAACTGAGCAACCAGTTCAGGAACCTTGTTTCTTCTCAATTCCTCATCCAAATGATCAATGAGTGTCCATGTTTCCTTCTGTATGTGTTCTGAATCTGCCCCATCTTCTCCATTTCTACTGTCATTTCCTTGGTTCAGCTCCTCATCATTATTTACCTGAATGGCAATAGTCTACTTGTTTCTATTCTCACAATATCCTCGCTGACCCAATCCAAGCAAGCCTTTTACATGAGAGTTCTACTTAAAATTACTTCACCACTGGCCGGGCGTGGTGGCTCATGCCTGTAATCCCAGCACTTTGGGAGGCTAAGGCAGGTGGATCACGAGGTCAAGAGATCGAGAGCAGCCTGGCCAACAGGGTGAAACCCCATCTCTACTAAAAATACAAAAATTAGCTGGGCGTGGTGGTGCACGCCTGTAGTCCCAGCTACTCAGGAGGCTAAGGCAGGAGAATCGGTTGAACCCGGGACACAGAGGTTGCAGTGAGCTGAGATCGTGCCACTGCACTCCAGCCTGCTGACAGAGCGACTCTGTCTCAAAAACAAAAAAAAAAATTACTTCACCGTTGATTTCAAAGGAGCCCCTCATTACAAATAAGGCCATTCACAATCTAAAACCTAACGTTTCTGGCCCCCTATTCTTCCTTCCCCTCATCCCTCCCTCAGCCATTCTAAATCAAGTCTAGTTTCCCAAATGCTCCCTGTACTACTATTTTTCCATGCTAGTCTCTTTATCTAAAATGTCCAACTCTTTTGACTAGAAATTACCCATTCTACATGTTCCAAGTGCTTAAATTTATTAAAGTATTCACTATATTTATGCTAGTCTTATTCATTTGTCTTCTCCCACTAGACTATAAGCTCTCTAAAAGCACAGACCAAGTTCAATTTATTCATCCTGGGAATCTAACATATATTTTCCATAATGCTCCAATCCAAGACTATTGTCGCAAATTTAAAAGGTAAAAACATTTTAAAAATTGAATAGTAATGAATACATTTTTATAAACTTCGAGTGTCCTCATAGAACACAACTGGAGATAAGAACAAGATTTAGATGATACTTTTCACAAAAAAAGAGTATCAGAACATTACATGTCATTGCTATTTTTACTCTGGAACGTTTTAACCAATAAGAAAGTTACATTTTAAATGTTAAGTTCCTTGAATAACATATCATCTTTAACCTCATTTTTATTCTAAACACTTTACCTAAGAGTAACACATTTACATAAAAGTATACAAATTGTAAATGTTGCGGGTCAGTGAAATTTCAAAAAGTAACACACCTATATAACCAGCAGGGGTTCAGTTTTGAAAGAGAAATGTCCAGGTATCTTAAACAGTACCTACCCTTCCAGGAAGAACAACTGCTTTAACTACTTTTGATATTCCAAGGTCATAAAGACAGAGAACACTCCCTTCTGTTTCTTCCAATCCTATTAATAATCCAGTTCTCTTCTGCCAAGAGAATTCTTTCACAGCTAAAACTACAGGAGGCTGTTCATTGACTCCACTGAATCTGTAAGCAGACAATCGCTCTCCTGTTATAGAGTTTACTACCTCAAGTTGTGGACCACAAGCCAAGCAAGCAAGTCCATTTTTCCCTAGAAGAAAAAAAAATTGCCTATTTTAATATTGTATATACACAAAACATGCAATAACGGTTAGCTCATTTACATACAACTATATGTTCATTACATAAAACTTTACATATTATCTCCACATTGAAATCTTTTAATCAAGCAACTATCATTACAATAATAATAGTCATTCAGTGGCGTGAACCTGGGAGGTGGAGCTTGGAGTAAGCCGAGATCATGCCACTGCACTCCAGCCTGCGTGACAGAGCAAGACTTCATCTCAAATAATAATAATAATAGTCATTCAGTAAAAGCCACCACCATGGTATGTGCTTGAATGTTATCTCATTTATTCCTTATCACACCTCAATGTAGAGATAAGGCAGCTAAACCTGAATACTGTTTAACCTTCCCAAAGTCAAAAAGTAGCACAGGCAGAAGTAGATCCCAAGCCTGTTTAACTCCAAAACTCATGCTTTAACTACTAAGGCTTAAACGATTTAAACTAGAAGTTATGGCAGTTATAAAATAGAACATATTATTCTATCCCTAAAGAGTTCACAGTCCAATTAAGAAATTAAGACATAACTAGCATAATGATAGGAAGTCTCAGAACCTCTTCTCCGCCTATTAGTCATGTTTGGATTTTACCCTGCCTGCAATGTAAAGTCATAGAGGTGACTATCTGATTTAAATCAAGTCAGTAACTATCTGATTTATGCATGTTTTTAAATGTTACTCCAGCTGCTAAGCAAAGAATGGACAAGGAGAAGCACAGAGTAGCCGCACTGGGTGGAAGACGACACCTGCTAGGTGACCGAATAGAGAAAAGTGGGTTGACTGGAGATTCAACTTAGAGGGAGAACTAATTGGATTTCCTTGCTGATGAATGAGACACAGGGAGGTGAGTAAAACAAGAATCAAGTACAGACTCCGAATTTCTGCTTGAGCAACCAGATGAATGGTAACTTCTAAATTTGAGATGTCCATCAAGCATCCAAGTACATTAGTTGGATATGTAAGTTTATAGCTAAGGGAGGCCACAGTTTAAGAAAGTAGCATGGTACAGTGGGGTCTGAGAACGCCAAGGTTCCAAGATCCTTTCTGCCACTTACCTGTATAACTGGGATCAAATAAATGATTTCATTCTCAGTTACACAGAATAGTGGCTACTTAGAAAAAAGTTTTACACCACTCCAATGAAGTCATCGTACAATGCCTGGCATATAGAAAGTACTGTTGTTCCTTTTAACATTCAAGAGAATGGCGCTGTCAAGAGAGAAATGACTGATACATATGTTTTGCTCTCTGCCTGCTGGGAAGATGGCTACGAAGCTTATATTCAGAAAAGTCTTCTGCAATATCTTTCATTAGAACAAGATCCATAAGAGAAAGCCTTCTTTAGTATGGTTCTCTGATGTATTACACAATCTAAGTTACACATTAAGATCTTATTCAGGTAAATGAAATCAGAAAACGAGATTTTCTGAAAATTTTATAACATCTAGGGCCCTGGACTTTTCTACTCATGACACTGTTCAGGTTCTAATCCAAACTCATCACCAATAAAACTTCCTAATTATAAGGAAAAACTAGTTGCATGTTACTTCTACTTCCCAAACATAGATAATACTAAGATACAAAACACATGAGATTTTTAATAAGGAAAAATTAACTATAACCCCCCCAATCAGAGGTTCACTGATAACATGTTTAAGAGCTTATAGATGTTATATATGTAACTGTAGATGTTACATATTTAAGATCACTCAGGTTCTGCTTTTTCTTCTTCCACATAAAGAAACTATAATATATACTTATTATTATTTATCTTACAAATCAATTGTATTAGTAAATGTTCAGTGACATTATGTTTACCTGCAGCAAACTTTCCACGAAGCACAGATTCTAATGTTATTTCGTCTTCTCCAAGGGCTTGAAGAGTCACTTCTGGAAATGGCAGGAGACCACTAGTCACTTGAGCTCTTAAGTCTCGCATACTTCCACTGTAAATATTTTTAAAAGAAAACATTATTATGACACATTTGTAGACAATATACTTGATTATGTCCAGCCAGGAAAAACAGTAAAAGCCACCAACAAAATAAAGAAAAACTAAAATCTGGTTACAAAATACATATTGGCCAGATGCGGAGGCTCACGCCTTTAAGTCCCAGCTACTTGGGAGGCTGAGGCAGGCGGATGAACTGATCCCAGAAGTTCGAGGCTGCGCCTCCAGTGAGCTATGATTGTGCCACTTCACTCCAGCATGGGCGACAGAGCAAAATCCAGTCTTAAAAACAAATGACATGCATCTGGGACCAAGGTATTCTACTGTCTCCTAAGAAAGTATTTCCCAAACAGCTTTAGGAAAGTAAACATTCATTAAGCCAGACGTACTAAGGATATACATTATTCCCTAGATTCTTTAAACACTAGTTCAGTGCAATTCATCTCATTGTCTAACCTCCTTGCAAAGAACACCTCACCACCACCATCCTCCCTACAGAAAAAAGAAAAAGTGATTGGTGTCTTTTAGAAAAATCACTTCTTCAGTAAAGGGGGAGAAAGTCCAAGAAAAATGTATAAATTCACAGAAACCCCAGAAATCAAGTTTGGTACATATCTTTTGCAGGATAGAAATAATATAGGCATAAAGTTGTCTTTCATTTAGAAGATCAGATTCCCAGAATGACTACTCCCATTATAAACAACCAAAAATACTAGTTAAAATACAGAAAGATTTTAGCCATCTGAGTTGGTTAGCTATGAAATCCAGTCCTGGGAACCCTGATCTTATTCTGGGCACTCTAAGATCCAGGGGCAAAAGATTAAGCCTAGGACAAAGAGAACTAATAAGCTCATCCCTCAACCCCATTAAACTCCACTAGGCTACATCAGCCTAAAGGTGAGCAAGAACAATACCCATTGTACAGGATGGGTACAATAAAGCTGTCCACATTGACCATGGCTCTGAGTCTCTTACTCAGAAAGACAACATTTTCTTTCATACAAATGTGTGGCCAGAATTCAAGCTAGGTTATATGGAAATCCTCAAGAGGCCGGGCGTGGTGGCTCACGCCTGTAATCCCAGCACTTTGGGAGGCTGAGGCAGGCGGATCACAAGGTTAGGAGATCAACACCATCCTGGCTAATATGGTGAAAACCCGTCTCTACTAAAAATACAAAAAATTAGCCAGGCATGGTGGCACACACCTGTAGTCTCACCTACTCGGGAGGCTGAAGCAGGAGAATCACTTGAACCCAGGAGGTGGAGGTTGCAGTGAGCCTCACTGCACTCTAGCCTCGGTGACAGAGCAAGACTCCATCTCAAAAAAAAAAAAAATCCTCAAGAGAAGAATTTATTATCAAGTTATTTTCAGGTTCGTTGCTCCAAGCAATCCACGGAAACAACCACATATCCTCTGGAATCTCAAAGAATTCTTAAAGAATTCTCAAAGTTAAAGCAACAAAGAAAATAAACTCACAGAGCCAGGCAGGGTGGCTCATGCCTGTAACACCACTTTGGGAGGCCAAGGCAGGAGGATCATGAGCTCAAGAGATCGAGACCATCCTGGACAACATGGTGAAAACCTGTCTCTACTAAAAATACAAAAATAAATTAGCCGGGCGTGGAGGCATACGCTTGTAATTCCAGCTACTCAGGAGGCTGAGGCAGGAGAATTGCTTGAACCCAGGAGGCAGTTGCAGTGAGCCGAGATTGTGCAACTGCACTCCAGCCTGACGACACAGTGAGACTCTGTCCCCCGCAAAAAAAAAAAAAAAAAAAAAAAAAAGAAAAGAAGCTCACAGTCCAAATAACAAAACACACAAGGATATCCAATAGCCAGCAGAATCAGATGACTGAGGACTTCAGATATTGAAATTACCAGAGATTAGAAAGTAAATGTCTAATATATTTGTGTAAATCAGCGATTTAGCTTGATAAGAAACTGTAAATGTTAAAGGAAAAATCAAGTAGATTTGAAAAAATTTCTAAAAATGAAAAATTAAATAAAAACTAAAACTCAATGGGTATAAAAATTCAATGGAGCAATGAGAGTGAATCACAGCTACATGCAACAATATGAATGAATGTCAGAATATATTATTAAACCAGCCGGGCGTGGTGGCTCACGCCTGTAACCCCAGCACTTTGGGAGGCTGAGGCGGCGAATCATGAGGTCAGGAGATCGAGACCATCCTGGCTAACAAGGTGAAACCCTGTCTCTACTAAAAATACAAAAAATTAGCCGAGCGTGGTGGCGGGCGCCTGTAGTTCCAGCTACTCGGGAGGCTGAGGCAGGAGAATGGCATGAACCTGGGAGGCGGAGCTTGCAGTGAGCCGAGATCGCACCACTGCACTCCAGCCTGGGTGACAGAGCAAAACACTGTCTCAAAAAAAAAAAAAAAATTATTAAACAATAAAAGCATCCAGGCACGGTGCCTCACGCCTATAATCCCAGCACTGTGGGAGGCCAAGGCAGGTGGATCACCTGAGGTCTGGAGTTCAAGACTAGCCTGGCCAACATGGTGAATCCACATCTCTACTAATAATACCAAAAAAAAAATCAGCTGGCCATGGTGGCGCATGCCTGTAATCTCAGCTACTCAGGAGGCTGAGGCAGGAGAATCGCTTGAACCTGGGAGAAGGAGGTTGCAGTGAACCAAGACCACGGCATTGCACTCCAGCCTGGGCAACAAGAGTGAAACTCTGACACAATAAATAAATAATAATAATAAAAATAAAAGCAGCAGAAAATACACGCAAAATGACATTTATATAAGGTTAAAAAGACACGCAGAACTAAGCAAAATATTGCTTAAGGATGCAAACATGACAAAACTATGAAAAAAACAAAGAAAAAATAAACACAGAATGCACAGTGGATTTGAGAGAGAAAGCGGAAGAATATACGAGGGACTCTGAAGTAGTGGTAATGTTCTTTCTCTAGAACTTGGTGCTGAGTACACAGGTATTCACTGCACCGTGATCTTCTCTAGCTTATATTCTTTTGCACCCACTCACCAAATAAATTATTTTGTACCTACTTAATACTCAACAAAAACAAACTCAAAGGATAAGTAAAAAAGTAAACTAGAAAGCCCCCAAAATTTATTCAGAATGCAGCACAAAGGGATGAGTAGTTTTAAATTATAGATAAGGAAGATCTAAGATATGCCTAATCAGAATCCCCCCAAAAATATAGTACTAATAGGAAGAAGCAATATATTTCCCAGATTTACAGACACACCGATTCCCTGAGTCAGGAAGTCCAATGAATCCTAGGAACTACCAAAAAAGAGAAATGACTCAACAACAGTAGTAGAAACCGCAATTCTGGAATATCTTCAGAAGTCTAACCAAAAGTAACTGCCAACATAATTATATATTACTGAAAGGATCCTTAACAAATACGAAATATGTTTTTAGACAAAAAAGTTTGCTTAAAGGAAATGTTAAAGGATTCAAGAAGGCTTCAGGTAGAATAGAGATCAGATAGAAGGTCTGAGAGGCAGCAAGAATGATGATGTCAAAGTACTGGTATATACACAGAAAAAAATCTAAACACTGACTACACAACAATAATAATGGCTGTGTGGAGTTTAAATAAACCATACAGAGTCTTCTTACTGCCTGAGAGAATAAAGATACATTGGTATATTTTAGACTTTGTTACATATCCATGTTGAAAACATATACAGGGCTGGGCACAGTGGCTCACGCCTGTAATCCCAGCACTTTGGAAGGCCTAGGCAGGTGGATCACCTGAGGTCATGAATTCAAGATCAGCCCAACCAGTATGGTGAAACCCCATCTCTACTAAAAATACAAAAATCAGTCGGGCATGGCAGTATGTGCCCGTAGTCCCAGCTACTCAGGAGGCTGAGAAAGGAGAATTGCTTGAACCCAGGAGGCAGAGGTTGCAGTAAGCAGAGATTGCACCACTGCACTCCAGCGCGGGTGACAGAGCAAGACTCTGTCTCAAATAAAAGGGAAAAGACACGTGCAAGAAGGCACACTGTATATCAACAGTATTCTGTTGCGGTTTTTTGGGTTGTTTTTTTTTTTTGACAGGGTCTCACTCTGTCACCCAGGCTGGAGTGCAGTGGCATTATCAGAGCTCAATGCAGCCTCAATCTCCTGGGCTCTAGCAATCTCTCGTCTCGTGCCACCATGCCTGGCTAATTTTTTTTTTTTAGTAGAAATAAGGTCTCACTATGTTGCCCATGATGGTCTTGAACTCCTGGGTTCCAGCAATCCTCCTGCCTCGGCCTCCCAAAGTGCTGGGATTACAGGTGTGAGACACCTATCAATAGTATCAATAGGCTGGGCGCAGTGGCTCACGCCTGTAATCCCAGCACTTTGGGAGGCCAAGGAGGGCGGATCACGAGGTCAGGAGATCGAGACCATCCTGGATAACACGGTGAAACCCTGTCTCTACTAAAAATACAAAAAAAATAGCCGGGCGTGGTGGCAGGCGCCTGTAGTCCCAGCTACTCGGGAGGCTGAGGCAGGAGAATGGCATGAACCCAGGAGGCGGAGTTTGCAGTGAGCCGAGATTGCACCACTGCACTCTAGCCTGGGCGACAGAGCGAGACTCTGTCTCAAAAAAAAAAAAAAAAAAAAAAGTATCAATAGTATTCTTAATAGCCTATCAATAGTATTCTTAATAGCCAAATACTAAATACAACCAAAGGAGAATGAAGAAGAAGTTATTTAATCAAATAATACCAAAAAAAAAAAAAAAAAAAAGATAGGCTGGGCACGGTGGCCCATGCCTGTAATCCCAGCACTTTGGGAGGCCGAGGTGGGCAGATCACCTGAGGTCAGGAGTTTGAGACCAGCCTGACTAACATGATGAAACCCCATCTTTACTAAAAATACAAAAATTAGCTGGGCATGGTGACATGCGTCTGTAATCCCAGCTACTCAGGAGGCTGAGGCATGAGAACTGCTTGAACCTAGGAGTCAAGGGTTGCAGTGGGCCAAAATTGTGCCACTGCACTCCAGCCTAGGTGACAGCAAGACTCTGTCCCAAAAATAAATAAATAAATACATAAATAAATACATAAAATAATTATAATAACTGAAACAATGTGATATAGGCTAGTAATGGACAAACAGGTCAACAAAACAGATAAAATAATCTAGACACAGAATCACTAAGTTCAGCAGATGGTAAAAAGCTATTTGGATATTTCAATTCAGAGCAGACATGTGGACTCTTCAATCAACATTTCTGGTATAATGTGCTACTCATCTGCAGCAAAGACATTACACACGGCTAGAGTGAAGTGGTGGAAGTGACACATTGCTTTACATTCCTCCCCTAGTATCTAGCAAATGAAATGTGTGCGTGCATGCGTGTGTGTGTGTGTGCGCGTAGCACACAGGAGCAGGTACAGAAGAAAGAAGGTGAGTTCACAAAATCCAGAGAATTCTAACATCCTTCAGTGTGTGTGGGGTGAAGTGAAATGAAGGGGGAAATAGATAACCCCAGGAAAACTCCAGGTCTGGAAGTCCCTAACTACATACTATGCCACAGGACCTGAGAAGAGGGCCATGTTTCAGGGAACTGTGCTGCTGTTTTGGGAGAAAGGTGAAGGCCCAAAGGCGTAGAATATAAATCTGGCAAAAGAGAGATCCGAGGTACAAGTCATTACCGTTTCTCAGCACTCCCCCTCCTATCTATTGAGTACAGAAAGGACTACATTCAGTTCCAACACCCAGCCCAAGCCATTCTCACAGAAGAGAATCAATACTATCAAACTGAAACCTGTGGTAAAATAACAGGATAACAGCCACTTCTAACAGATGTGTTTAACTTTAAAAAATTTATAAAGAAATATTTACATTAAAAGAACTACTATAAATTTAACAATTCCTTTCAGTTTTCTTATGAAATTAACTATTTCTAAAAATTAGCATTTCATACAATAATCTCTATGAATTCTTCCATCTGTTTATCTTTAAACAGAGATATCTGAAATATTCACAAAACATTAGTGCCGTTTATTTTTGTGTGATGCAAATTTGTGATTTGCTCATTTCAGTATGGCTTGGATTTCTTATAAAATCAATAATTAAAGAATTTTAAAACATATATATATAAAATAAAAATGCAACTTTAAAAATACAGTACATATTTATGTAGCCTTAGGATGGGAACAAGGCAAAAATCAACCTAACGTTCTTTCTTGTCATTCTTATTCTCTCCACATCTTAGTCCCCTCCCCCAAAAAAATTTATGTGAAAAAAACATTTCAAAGATTCACTCAAAAAATTAAAATATATGAGTTATCATTTTCTGTTCAGGCTATAAATGCTATCTCCTAGACAAAAACTTGATGGACTGCCTCAAAAACTTAATCACATATGTCACCATTAAGTCACAAAACCTAAAAAGTTATGTTTGAGATTTCCAAGTCATCAAAAGTAGAAGTTTGCTTTTTATTATCCAAAACAGATCCAAAAGTCTAACCTAATATAAAGGTGTGCATCAATAGGAAGCTATGACCATTAGCCTCCAATACAAAACCCTCATGAGGGTCCTATACTCAAGCCTTAGTTGCTCTTATATACACAAATGGACCCTATTCATCTCCTAAGTAGCTTAGTACCAAAAAAATTTTTAGAGAAACAGATGGAAAAGGCCAGAATCACATTGTTACTATGTTGTTTTCCCCTCTGACAGCCTTTTATATAGCTTGATAAAACTAGTTTAATGATGAACTGAAGTTAACACATTTTTCCTACTAAACTTAAAACCAAAGTAAGTCAACCAGAACCAAAACCTTCAGAATTCCATGCAGTAGCTTTTTACAAAGTGTATTCAGAAGAGTGCTAATGGATAATGAGCAAAAAAGTTCCATGATCCCTATACTTCAATCAAAATCATCTCAATACAATTTTGGAAAGATTTTCACAAAATCCAAAGTCCAAAGGATAACACACAAAAAGCATTTTTTGGAAAATGAAATATAGTAAATGTTCTATTTCTTAGGCTGGGTGAGTTTTGTTATGTTGTTTGAATGCAAAACAAAGATGATATAGAAGTACTAGCTCTAAGAGAATAAAGCCACAGTATTTAAACTGTGGCCAGACATGATGGCTTATGCCTGTACACCCAGCACTCTGGGAAGCTCAGGCGGAAGGATCTCTTAAGACCAGGAGTTGTAGGTTGCAGTAAGCTATGATCAGGCCACTGCACTCCAGCCTGGGCAAGATCCTGTTTCTAAAAATATAAAAAATAAACCTAATGTGGTTTGTATAACTGTCCCCTCCCAATCTCATACTGAAATGTGATCCCCAGTGTTGGAGGTGGGGCCTGGTAGGAGGTGTCTGGGTCATGGGAGAGGACCCCTCATGAATGGGTTGGTGTCCTCTCCACAGTAATGAATTCACATGAGATCTGGCTGTTTAAAGCCAGGCATGGTGGCTCCCAGCACTTTGGGAGGCTGAGGCAGGCAGACTGACTGAGCCCAGGAATTTGACACCAGCCTGGGCCACATGGCGAAATCTCATCTCTACGAAAAATAATTAGCCAGGTGTGGTGGCGCCTGCCTGTAGTCCCAGCTACTGGGATTGCTTGAGCCTGGGAGGTCAAGGTTGCAGTGAGCCATAACTGCACCAATGAATTCTAGCCTAGGCGACAGTGAGACCCTGTCTTTAAAAAAAAAAAAAAAAAAAAGGCCTGGTACCTCCTCACTCCCCACTCTCATCATGTGAGTATCCTGCTCTCCCTTTGCCTTCTGACATGATTGGAAGCTTCCTGACACCCTCACCAGAAGGTAGGCAGCTGCTGGTGTCATGCCTGCACAGCCTGCAGAACCATGAGGCAAAATAAACCTCTTTTCTTCATAAATTATCCAGTTTCACATATTCCTTTATAGCAACACAGGCTAACGTATTTCTAATTCAAACTTTGAATCCAGGTTCTAGCACTTAATAATACATGTAACATTGTGCTTTACTATATTCTGTCTTCCTCCCTTTCATATCCAAGCTTCTAGAAAAGAGGAGTACTTATTTCTCCAGACTTCATCATGGTGCCTAGCACAAAGGAGTTCAAAAAAATGTTTAATAAAGTTTTTCAAATTTAACAGCCTTTGAATCTATAGGGCAAAATTGGTTTTAAGACTTTTCCAATTTAAGCACACTACAGAGAACATCGAAACACTCTATTATTAGAAATAGGGGCCAGGCGCGGTGGCTCACACCTGTCATCCCAGCACTTCGGAAAGCTGAGGTGGGTGGATCACCTGAGGTCAGGAGTTCAAGACCAGCCTCACTAACAGGGTGAAATCCCGTCTCTACTAAATACAGAAAACTAACCAGGTGTGGTGGCGCATGCCTATAATCCCAGCTACTTTGGGAGGCTGAGGCAGGAGAATCACTTGAACCCGGGAGGCGGAGATTGCAGTCAGCCGACACTGCACCATTGCACTCCAGCCTGGGCAACAAGAGCGAAACCCCGTTTCAAAACAAACAAGTCTCAAAACAAACAAAAGTGTATGGCCGGGCCGCGGTGGCACACGCCTGTAATCCCAGCACTTTGGGAGGCTAAGGCGGGCGGATCACGAGGTCAGGAGATCGAGACCATCCTGGCTAACAAGGTGAAATCCCGTCTCTACTAAAAATACAGAAACAAAATTAGCAGGGCGTGGTGACGGGAACCTGTAGTCCCAGGTACCCGGGAGGCTGAGGAGGGAGAATGGCGTGAACCCGGGAGGCGGAGCTTGCAGTGAGCCAAGATCGTGCCACTGCACTCCAGCCTGGGCGACAGAGCGAGACTCTGTCTCAAAAAAAAAAAAAGAAAGAAATAGGCCAGGCACTGTGGCTCACACCTGTCATCTCAGCACTTTGGGAGGCCAAGGCGGGAGAATGGCTGAGGTCAGGAGTTGGTTAGAGACCAGTCTGGCCAACATGGTGAAACCCCGTCTCTACTAAAAACAAGAAATGTAGCAGCCAGCCACGGCTGCATACGCTTGTCATCCCGACTACTTGGGAAGCTGAGGCATGGGAATCGCTTGAACCGGGGAGGTGGAGGTAGCTGTGAGCTGAGATGGTGCCACTACACTCCAGCCTCAGCAACACAGCCTGACTGTCTCAAAAAGAAAAACTATATTATTAGAAAGAATATCTCATATAAAGGTATATGAAAACACAAACACACATGAAACACCTACGTTCAGTACTGTACAAAATTAAACAGAATCCCAGCCTTTTATGACATGCCAGCACTGGCAACCTATAAAAAGTAATTTACTAAGTTTCAATTCCTTTCCAAAGGCTAGATAGGCAGAGCAGGAACGTTCTACTGGCTTTGAATGAAGATACTGTTCATGGCCGGGCGCGGTAGCTCAAGCCTGTAATCCCAGTACTTTGGGAGGCCGAGGCTGGCGGATCACAAGGTCAAGAGACCCAGACCATCCTGGCCAACATGGTGAAACCCTGTCTCTACTAAAAATACAAAAATTAGCTGGGCGCGGTAGCGCGCTGTAGTCCCAGCTACTTGGGAGGCTGAGGCAGGAGAATCGCTTGAACCTGGGAGGCAGAGGTTGCAATAAGCCAAGATCACGCCACTGCACTCCAGCCTGGCGACAGAGCAAGACTCCGCCACCAAAAAATTAATTAATTAATTAAATTAAATACTGTTCGGCCGGGTGCGGTGGCTCACGCCTGTAATCCCAAGGCAGGTGGATCACGAGGTCAGGAGATCGAGACCATCCTGGCTAACACGGTGAAACCCCATCTCTACTAAAAATACAAAAAAAATTAGCCGGGCGTGGTGGTGGGCACCTGTAGTCCCAGCTACTGGGGAGGCTGAGGCAGGAGAATGGCATGAACCCGGGAGGCGGACCTGGCAGTGAGCCGACATCGCGCCACTGCACTGTAGCCTGGGCGACAGAGCGAGACTCCGTCTCAAAAAAAAAAAAAAAAAAAAATTACTTCTGCTTGCCTGTCTTCTCCACTACACTATGAATTCCTAAAAGGCAAAAATCACCAAATCTTATTCCTGGGCATTCGACAAGGTCACAGTGCCTTTGGACTAACAGGTCCTAAATGTAATAAATTAGGATAACAGGATACTGTATAGCAGGATATTATTAGGATACTAGCAGAGACAAGAAATAGGCATGTTAAACAATAAAATCAATTTTTTAAAACTCAAGATTGGGCCCAATTATTTTTAAGTATACACTGGTTCAGTATTAAACAAAACAAAATTCTTAAAATTACTAGGCCAGATACTAAAAACAGAATACTATAAATCAGTTTTCTGTGTGAAATACACAAATTCCTGCAGTAACTGAATTCCACCACAGAAAATGGAACTCTAATCTAGTTCAACAATTATATTGCAACATGTACCAAGCAAACATTTCTATAAACCACTTTGTATGCAATGGTACTTTTTTTCTTTTTGACTAATAAAAAGACGAATTGTCATTTAAATGTAAACTACCAGTGGACCCAGAAACTTCAAGCCTTTCAGAAATTTCTTACCAACTTAATTCAAACATTTTAAAATCACAAACTACTTTTAAAACACCGTGTTAGTAAAGGAATGCAAGGTCAAGAAGATAACCTTCTTCCTGACTTTAAGGAGTTTACAATCTAGAAAAGGAGATATATAGTCAATTATCAGAGTATCAGACACAAAGAATAAATGCTACTACAATAGAGGTACATATGCTGTGAGATCCCAGTAAAAAAGTGGGATAAGGGGAAATAAAAGAGTACAGTGGGCTGGGTGCGGTGGTTCACGCCTGTAATCCCAGCACTTTGGTTGGCCGAGGTGGGCAGATCGTCTGAGCTCAGGAGTTCGAGATCACCCTGGGCAACATGGTGAAACCCCGTCTCTACTAAAATACAAAAAATTAGCCGAGTGTGGCGGCGCGTTCCTGTAGTCCCAGCTACTCGGGAGGCTGAGGCACAAGAATCGCTTGAGCCCTGGAGGCGAAGGTTGCAGTGAGCCAAGATCACGCCATTGCACTCTAGCTTGGGCTACAAAGTGAGACTCCGTCTCAAAAAAATAAAAATAAAAATAAAAATACAGTGAAAACATTGGATTTAGAAGGAGGACCTGAAATTTGAGTATTTAAAAAAGGAAAGATGGCACTCCAGGATGAAGGACATGAGCAAAGAAACATCAGAGTGGAAACATCTCTTCCACAGAATGAGTCCAGGATTGATGACGATTCTGGAATAGCAAAAGCATAAAATTTGTTAACATATGAGGATAGACAGTAGCATATACTTATTGTAGAGACCTTTGAGCTAACCGAGGGAAGTTACACTTCATTCTGGGAAGAAAGAAAAGTCCCTGAAAATATTAAAGGTAGGCGTGAAAGACACAACGTTTTGCTTCCTCTTAAAATATATCTGTACCAGCCGGGCGCGGTGGCTCACGCCTGTAATCCCAGCACTCTGGGAGGCCAAGGCGGGCGGATCACGAGGTCAGAAGTTCAAGACCAGCCTGGCCAATATGGTGAAACCCCGTCTCTACTAAAAATACAAAAATTAGCCGGGTGTGGTGGCGTGCGCCTGTAATCCCAGCTACTCAGGAGGCTGAGGCAGGAGAATCGCTTGAACCTGGGAGACGGAGGTTGCAGTGAGCCAAGATTGTGCCACTGCACTCCAGCCTGGGCAACAGAGCAAGACCCCGTCTCAAAAAAAAAAAAAGATGTATCTGTACCTATGAAAAAGGAGAAGCATAAAAAGAAAACAAAAGTCTCAAAACTGATGTATAACGATCTTTTTTATTTTATTTTAGCAACAGGTTCTCGCTCTGTCACACAGGCTGAGTGCAGCGGCGCGATCCTAGCTCACTGCAACCCTCGAACTCTCAGTTTGAGGCTGAAGCTCAAACGTTCCCCCCGCCTCAGCCTCCCAAGTAGGCGCGCGACTAGAGGCGCCACCAATTCCCGGTTGACATGATGTTTTAAAAATTTTTTCAAGATAATTATTGTTGTTTGCAAACTCGTGACAGCTTGGTAGTATGTTACTGAAGGATCAGGATCCAAAAATCACAGTACAGAGACAACGTAGACTTCCCATAGCGCTTGGCACACTTAAAACATCCCTTCAAGTATTAACCTTAACTGGGCTTGTCATCCCAGGTCAAATCCTCCGAAATAAGTAAACCACTCTAATTTCTTCTCTCCTAAGAGACTCTATCAGTGAAAGCTCACAAAAAAACAGTTTAAAAAAAAAAAAGGGGGGGTCTCGCCATGTTGCTCAGGCTGGTCTCAAACTCCTGGGTTCAAGCGATCCTCCCGCCTCAGCCTCTCAAAGTGCTGGGATTACAGACAGGAGCCACTGCGCCCAGCCAAAGACAGTTCTTAAAATCTACAGGTTCTTTAGGATATTCTGAGAATAAATATCGTTTAGGATTTCCCCAAAGGATTTACGTTTTGTTCTATGAAGAACCCAGTTCTTCCAAAAATTTCTACAACTGACGATTTGGAAATAAAAATAACGCTCATCTCATAAAACTTTGCACACAGATAGTATGAACCTCGTAAGCTTTGAGAACAAAATTTCCCCATCTCTCAAAACAAAACACCCAAACCAAAACAGTCAACCAGTGGCAAAAGAAACCGTCCTGTTTCCCAGGTAGGAAAAAGGAAGGCAAAGCACCCCAAGATGTGCTTTTATTTTAAATCTCCTTGATCTGACCAATCGGGTGAGCTGGAACCTCACGGCTGAGCCCCGAGTCCAACTTCTTCCCCGCCAGGACTACTCACTGTGGCCAGGCCCAAGCGCATGTGGAACACACGCCAACACAGGACAGGCTCAGCACGCCGGCCGCTTCCCTCGGGGAAAGGCCCGCCAACGAGTCCATCGCGTGGGAGAACAGTGGGAAAGGGTCGCGGCCCCGGCCGTCCGTAAAGGGACCCGACTGCCGGCGCAGGACGCGAACCACCAGCGCCGCTCCGCCGCCATGTGCCGCCGCTCCTCCGGTCCGAGATTATGTAACGAAGCCCGGCGCCCGCGAGCCTGCCGTACCCGCCACCGCCACCGCTCGCCCCCTCGAGCCCCATCCGTTGGCCCCGCGCACGCCCGGCCTAGGCCCGGCGCTCGCGGGGCAGAAGCCCCGCCGCCGCCGCCGCCGCCGCCGCCGCCGCCGCGGGTCCAGGCCGCGCGACCCGCCCTCCGCCGCGCGGGCCCAACCCCCTCCCTCCCTTCCCCCTACCTGAACGGGGCGGGTGAGCGCGCCGCCGCGGGCCGAGTCCACCGGGTCGCCAGGCCAGGCGCGAGCTCCTCCCGTGCGGGTCCGTCACAGCATCTCCCGGGAGACGTGGCCGCCACGGGCCGGGCTCACACCCCTCCGCCCGGCTGAAGCCGCTCCTCTGCGCTCCGGCCGCCGCCTGCGACCTCCCCGGCCACCTCAGAGCCACACGCCCCCGAGAGTGCCTTCGCGGGCTGTAGGCCTGCAGACCGCTCAGCGGCTAAAACGCAGTCGCTGCTCCCGCCGCGCTTCTGGGTCCTTCCCCTTGCAACGCTGCCTGCTCGCCTCGGACAGCGCCGGCCCCGCTCTGCGCATTACCCTGCGCCGACAAAACCGAGTTCCACACGCCCCGGAAGGGAGGGAGCAGAGGAAAGGGCGGAGAGGGAGGGGAGAACCGGCGGGAGATCGCGGCTGCAGGGACCAGAGTTCTCGCGATGGTTCCGCGCTCTAGCGCCGGCTCCGCGGGAATTTTCAAACTCTCGGTGAAAGAAGGAGGTGGGAGGGAAAGGGAGGAAAGAGAAGCAGGGCCTGGAAGGGCGGATCATTTACAAAAAAATCGGGTCTCTCCGCCTCCGAGGAGCTGGTGGGGAGAAAGACTACGAGTCCCACAGTGCCTTGCGCGTGAAGCCGCCCTGGCGGCCCCGGCGGCGCGCCCCGTGCGCAGTTGGGAGTGGTAGTCTTCGCTGGGGGTCGCGCCGGGCTCTGCCAGCCGCCTGCTGCGATTGCAGGCGGACTCTCTTGTCACGTAATCGTGTGGCCCTGCCAGCTGGGGGCCGAGTGATAATCTTTCTCCCATAATTGGCAGCTTGCATTCTGTATTTTCTGTTCTGTGCTCCCACTTTTCTTTTTTTCTTTTTCTTTTTTTTGGAGACGGAGTCTTGCTCTGTTGCCCAGGCTGGAGTGCTGTGGCACGATCTTGGCTCACTACAACCTGTGCTCCCGCTTTTCATGCCAAAGGTGGGCTCCCAGACTTCTGGGGAAACGCTTTTTCCACGGTGCTGTTTTTTCTAGCATCCTCCTGTGCTTTCATGGCCAAAAATGCTCGCGCAGCCTAGCCTAATCTTTTTAGTCAAAATTTTACCCCAAATCACTGTTATCTTTTTGGTCACCGCGGGTTTTCATTGTGGAATTTCTTATTTCTTGTTAGTATCTTCCTTTGAAGCAAATCCCAGCGCCAAACATGTTTCAAACAGATAGGGAACGTATCCTTAATACTAAGTAGTAAGTAAAAGGATTATAACATGAGGTAGAGTAGGGATTTTAAGAAGATGCTCTTTTATCAGGAAAGTTTCTACTTTTCTGTTACCTTTCATATGTGCTTTTTAAATTTTTTTATTTTTGAGACAGTGTCTCGCTCTGTCGCCCAGGCTGGAGTGCAGTGGTGTAATCAAGGCTCACAGCAGCCTCGAACTCGTGGGCTCAAATGATCCTCCTACCTCAGCCCTCCAAGTAGCTGGGACTATGGGCATGGACCACCATGCGCCACTACGTCCCATTAATTTTTTTATTTTATTTATTTATTTATTTATTTATTTATTTGAGACGGAGTCTCGCTCTGTCACCAGGCTGGAGTGCAGTGGCACAATCTCGGCTCACTGCAACCTCCGCCTCCCAGGTTCAAGAGGTTCTCCTGTCTCAGCCTCCAGAGTAGCTAGGACTACAGGTGTGCGCCACCATGCCCAGCTGATTTTTGTATTTTTAGTAGAGACAGGGTTTCACCATGTTGGCCAGGATGGTCTTGAACTCTTGACCTCGTGATCCACCTGCCTCAGCCTCCCAAAGTGCTGGGATTATAGGCGTGAGCCACCGCGCCCGGCCTTATTTTTTATTTTTTGTAGAGACTGTCTCACTGTGTTACCCAAGCTGGTCTCTACTCCTGGGCTCAAGAGATCCTCCTGCCTCAGCCTCTCAACGTGCTGGGATTACAGACATGAGCCACCATGCCCAGCCTATTTTTATTTTTGTAGAGACTGTGTCTTGCTGTGTTGCTCAGACTGGAGTGCATGGCTATTCGCAGGCACTATGGCCTCATCAGTGCCACTGCTGCCTCCAACTTCTAGGCTCAAGCTATCCTCCCACCTCAGCTTCCCGAGCAGCTGGGACTACAGGCATGGATATCATGCCTGGCCCATATTCTTTCAGAGATAATGCTGCCTTTTGGAAATGTAATTTTCTTTTTTCTGTAATTTTTGTTTCTTTAGTAACAGCAACCTCCATACATATCATGTTTGTTTGCACAAGGTATTGGACCAAGTTGTGATAGAAACAGTTAAAAAGAGTACTGCTTTTGCAGTAGGAGGTTTGGGGTTCGTTGTCTTAATTATTTTAAAGAGATCTCTTCAAACAGAAACCACCCTCTGTTGGATGTGCTGATTTATGTCACATGCTCCATATTCTACACTTTCTTTGGCACTGTTTTATGCCCAGTTCATGAGTACTGTACCTCTCGATAGTCAGAAGACATGAATTATCAACTCAGGTGTGCTGCTAGTGAGCTGTGTGACATTAGGAAAATCAAGTGACCTCTCTGGGCTTCAGTTATCAGATGTGTAGAGCAAGGGATTGACTGATTCATTAGACAGATATTTATTAACTTTGCTCTAAGAGCCCTTCCAGTTGTGAAATTCAAAAATCTATTTTAATTGCACATATTATCCAGATTGACTGTCTACATAGTCTTTCAGATTTTAATCCTTTCCATCATTATCAACAGAATGATTTCTGTATCATTGTCTATATTTTTATTATTTACTTATTTTGAGACAGGGTCTTGCTCTGTTACCCAGGCTGGAGTGCAGTGGCACAATCTCGGGTCACTGTAGCCTTGACCTCCTGGGCTCAAGCAGTTCTCCTACCTCAGCCTCCCAAATAGCTGGGACTACAGGTGCATACCACCACTCCTAGCTAATTTTTGCATTTTTTGTAGAGACAGGGTTT
The DNA here is from genome assembly GCF_000001405.40 of Homo sapiens. Taxonomy (NCBI): domain Eukaryota; kingdom Metazoa; phylum Chordata; class Mammalia; order Primates; family Hominidae; genus Homo; species Homo sapiens. The sequence continues at coordinate 246,934,551 of NC_000001.11, forward strand.
CTTCATGTTACCCAGGCTGGTCTCAAACTTGTGGGCTCAAGTGATCTGCTGGACTCAGCCTTCCAAAGTGCTGGAATTACAGACGTGAGACACTGGCCTGGCCTGTGTAATTGTCCATAATCTAGACCAACTCTACCTGTCGTATTTTATTTCCCTATATAGTTCCTGAGCTTTGTTTTGTTTTGTTTTGTTTTTTAACTCTCCAAACCTGTTTTCTCTTTCAGTGTCTCCCAGCCTCTTCTCTCCCTGAGTAAATCTTAACATCCCTCAGGGGCCAGCTCAAGCCTCTTTCCTCTTCCCAATCTTTTCTTCAGCTTCAGCCCACATGAATCACTAAAAACTTGAGCGAAATATGCTGTCTGAATTGTTTCATGTCTGTTTCCCTTTTTGCCTCTGACTCTCTCCATCCACCCACCATCTCCATCTCCCAGCTGCACTGGGAGCACAGACTGTATCTTTTTAAAATGCTTCCCCCATAACTGCTAGTTTTTTATTTTAGTTGCTTTGCAAACTGAATTTCCAATTTAAAGCTCTCATTCAATCCTTTTTCTTCTTTCTTTCAGACATTTAACTAAGCAAATACCAGATTATTTTAATTGGTTTCAAGAGATGTTAATAAGTGTTAAATGAAGAAAAATCTAGATTTGGTAATCAAATGAGTTTGGGGGAAAAGCTGATTAAATAAAAATAAAAATGTATTTTCTGTAAGACTTCACTGGCTTTAATATGCTTGGCATTCCCCAGAGTTGCTTGACCATGGCATCCATTTGCACTTGTGTAACATCTTGCCTTATTAGTGCTTCACAGAACAGACTCTGGTAAACACGGCTTCAAAGCTTTCTCTCACTGGAAGAAGCATGTTGTGGTGAAAATAATGAAATCATTTGGAGCCAGACAAACTTGGGTTTACTGCGTTTCACTACTTTCTAGCAACATGACTTTTATGAAATTACTTCACTCTCTGAGCCTGTTTTCTCAGCTAAGAAGAAAAGATAATGTCACTTTCTTTGCAGAACTGTTGTAAAGATGAAAGGGAAGTACATGCCTTCCTTAGAACCTCATTCCGTTTTCACCTATATGGTCCTAAGTTATGTTGGTAAAAGGCCTAGAAATGGATAATAACTGGTACAAATCCTCATGCTTCCATCTGGAATATTTGATTCAAGAGACAATATTTTTAAAAATTTTATTTATTGATTGATTTTTGAGATGGAGTCTCACGCTATCACCCAGGCTGGAGTGCAGTGCAGTGGCATGATCTCAGCTCGCTGCAGCCTCCGACTCCCGGGTTCAAGCGATTCTCCTGCTTTAGCCTCCCATTGGGATTACAGGCCTGTGCCACCACTCCTGGCTAATTTTTGTATTTCTAGTAGAGATGGGGTTTCACCATGTTGCCCAGGCTGGTCTTGAACTACCGACCTCAAGTGATCCACCCGCCGTGGGCTCCCAAAGTGCTGGGATTACAGCATGAGCCACTGCACCCGGCCAAGAGGCAATATTTTAATACCATTCCAGCATCCTGGGAGTGACTAGCGGCCATCTGATTTCAGGGAATTCAGGACTTCATTGAAGCGTTCTGAGTTAGATCTCCAATTGTTTTGCAAAGTAACAGGGAAAGCCTTATTACTTTAACAACAACAAAAATGGAGCTTATCTGTCTCGAGCAGAGAAAACTGTCTTTGTCCTAACAGGTACATGTTCATCATTTTTGTGCAGTTGATTGGTTATAGCAAGCAGTGCCCACCCTTGATTTCTCCAATTGACAATAAACTAGGTGAATGAACAATCATATTTTTCCTGTTCCCCACTCTATGTCCAGTGATGGCACAATGGCCAGAGCGTAAATACTAAAATCATTGTCTAGTGACTGAGCAAATAATAATTCATCATTCAAAGCAAAATATGCAAAAAAAAAAAACAAAGCAAAATATGCCATATTAGATTATAAGGAACCTTAGAGATATTCTAGGCCAAACACCTTATTTTATAGGTGGTGAAATGAATTGTCAAATGATTTGCTACAAATTTTTTGGGATGGATTTTTTGTTTTGTTTAAAAAATAAGCCAAGTGCAGTGGCTCACAGCTGTAATCCCAGCACTTTGGGAGGATGAGGCAGGCAGATCACCTGAGCCCAGGAGTTCCAGACCAGCCTGGGCAATATGGCAAAAACCCATCTGTACAAAAAATACAAAACTTAGCCGGGCATGGTGGTACATGCCTGTAGTCCCAGCCACTTGGGAGGCTGAGGTGAAAGGATCACTTGAGCCTGGAAGGTCAAGATTGCAGGAGCGGTGGTCGTGCCACTGCACTCCAGCCTGGGTGACAGAGCAAGAGACCCTGTCTCAAAACAAAACAACAACAACAAAAAAAAAATTGTAGGGGCAGCAAAACTTTACCTTTACCCTCTTAGGCTCTCTGGCTGGGTTTGAGAATTAAATTGACACAAGTGAGAATAACAGGAGAAAGGGCTGGGCAAGGTGGCTCACACCTGCCATCCCAATATTTTGGGTGGCTGAGGCAGGAGGATTGCTTGAGCGTGAGCCTGGGAGTTTGAGGTTGCAGTGAGCTATGATCGGACCACTGCACTCCAGCTTGGGCAACAGAGCGAGATCTTATCTCTAAAAACAGAGAAAAGTACACAGATTTTTACATGTACATGGGAGCCCCCATAGGAAAATGAAGACCCAAAGACATGACAAAACCTAAATGCTTCTATAGTAGGTTGAACTAAGAGTGACGGTTGTGGACATGTGTTGGGATGCTAAAGATACAAGTTAATTTAACAATTAACTTTTTTTCAGATTTTTCTCAGCCTTGACTCCACATCTCTGATGACTAGAATGTTTCTTCTCTCCTGGGACAAGGAAGGCAGCGTTTCCCTTTTGTATCAGCCGTTTCTCAACTGCCTTTAGCTCAAAATAATCCTTATGCCAAAAGGCATATTTTGGGGTGCCATCCTCTGCCACCCTTCAACATTTTTAATTTTTAATTTTTAAAATTTTTTAATTTTTAAAATTTTTTTGAGACAGACTCTGGCCCTGTTGCCCAGGCTGGTGTGCAGTAGCGTGATCTCGGCTCACTGCAACCTCCTTCTCCTGGGTTCAAGCGATTCTCCTGACTCAGCCTCCTGGGTAGCTGGGATTACAGACATGCACCACCATGCCCAGCTAATTTTTTTTTTTTTTGTATTTTTAGTAGAGATGGGGTTTCACCATGTTGGTCAGGTTGGTCTTGAACTCCTGACCTCAGGTGATCCACCCGCCTTGGCCTCCCAAAGTGCTGGGATGACAGGCATGAGCTACCACGCCTGGCCCACCCTTCAACATTAAATCAAACCTACAGTCATAAAAGAAGAAAAGTAATAACAAACATTTAAATTGTAAAATATTTTTGTCATCATAGTCTTTATGCATTTGAAAAATTGTTTGCGTGAATGGTACCCCCCCCCCAAAAGCCAGATTATATTTCTTTCTCCAAACACTGGTAATATTTGTCATTAACAGGTACCACAATTAATCTGTTCCTTAAAATTTTTCCTCTTTCTACTTCTCCGTTTTTTTCACATTATTTTCTTCAAAGGTTACTTTAAAAAATCTATGTGTGGGCTGGGCACGGTGGCTCACGCCTGTAATCCCAGCACTTTGGGAGGCTGAGGCGGGCAGATCACGAGGTCAGGAGATCGAGACCATCCTGGCTAACACGGTGAAACCCCGTCTCTACTAAAAAGACAAAAAATTAGCCGGGCTAATTAGGCGGGCACCTGTGGTCCCAGCTACTCGGAAGGCTGAGGCAGGAGAATGGCGGGAGACGGAGCTTGCAGTGAGCCGAGATCGCGCCACCGCACTCCCGCCTGGGCGACAGAGCGAGACTCCGTCTCAACAACAACAACAACAACAAATCTGTGTGTTTTGGCTAAAACTATTCAGATTCTGATTTCTCTGTTACTTAAACCCAAAGAACACCCTTAATGACAGCTCTTGAAATACAGTTACATGTCACTTAATGATGGGGAAACATTTTGAGAAATGACAATTTCATTGTTGTACAAACATCAGAGTGTACCTACAGAAACCTGAATAGTATAGCCTACTACACACCTAGACTATATGCGATAGCCTATGGCTCCCAGGCTACAAACCGGTGCAGCATGTTACTGCACCAAATACTGTAGGCAATTGTAACACAATGGTGAGTAATTGTGCATCCAAACATAGAAAAGATACAGTAAAAATGTGGTATGAAAGATACAAATGGTCCACCTGTCTAGGGCACTTACCATGAATGGAGCTTGCAGGACAGGAAGTTGCTCTCAGTGAGTGAGTGAGGAGTGAATGTGAAGGCCTAGGACGCTACTGTACTGTACTGTAGACTTTATCAACACTGTACGCTTAGGCTACACAGGCCTGGAACACTCACTGTTCTCTACTGTAGACTATCCACACTGTACACTTAGGCTACACAGGCCTAGAACACTCACTGTACTCTACTGTAGACTTTATCAATACTGCACACATAGGCTACACAGGCCTAGAACACTCACTGTTCTCTACTGTAGACTTTATCAACACTGCACACGTAGGCTACACTACATTTATAAAGAAATCAAGTAATTACAGTATGGTGTCAGTGATGGCTATGTCACCAGGCAATAGGAGTTTTTCAGCTCCTTTATAATCTTCGAGGACCATAGTTACATTTGCAGTCAGTAGTTGACCAATACCTAGTTGCATAGCGTGTGACTGTCCTGCAATTGCTGACTAGAAGCTGTGTACTCAGACACCATTGCGTTTTTTATTTATTTTCAACCTTTACCTCAAGACTCATGCTTGCCTTCTGGTGTTGTTCTGTTGGATTCCAGAGGGCACAAGAGAGTTATAAGCTTCTTACAGTCAATGGCATTGCAAGTATTGCTCATGAGCTGCAAATCTGTCACCTGCCTGAAGCTCCCTGCCTCTAAGGAAACCCAGCTAAGAAAAGTTGGTTCCAGCTGGGCACAGTGGCTCACGCCTGTAATCCCAGCACTTCAGGAGGCTGAGGCGGGTGGATCACAAGATCAAGAGATCGAGACCATCTGGCCAACATGGTGAAACCCCATCTTTACTAAAAATACAAAAATTAGATGAGCGTGGTGGTGGGCACCTGTAATTCCAGCTACTCGGGAGGCTGAGGCAGGAGAATCACTTGAACCCGGGGGTCGGAGGTTGCAATGAGCTGAGATTGTGCCTCTGCACTCCAGCCTGGTGACACAGCGACTCTGTCTCAAAAAAAAAAGAAAAAGAAAAGAAAAGTTGGTTCTGTAGTAGAAAGTGATGGAAATAAGGACAGTCAAGTCTGATGTTCCATTGAGGGAATAGGTCACCCATTTTAACAAGTGCTTTGTGCCACATTTATTAGATTCTCAGTCTTATTTTATTTTATTTTATTTTATTTTATTTTTGTTTTCTTTTTTTTTTGAGACAGAGTCTCGCTCTGTCACCCAGGCTGGAGTGCAGAGGCGCGATCTCGGCTCATTGCAACCTCCGACCCCCGGGTTCAAGCCATTCTCGTGGTTCAGCCTCCTGAGTAGCTGGGACTACAGGCGCCCATCACCACGTCCAGCTAATTTTTTTTGTATTTTTAGTAGTGACGGGGTTTCACCATGTTAGCCAGCATGGTCTCGATCTCCTGACCTCGTGATCTGCCCGCCTCGGCCTCCCAAAGTGCTGGGATTACAGGCGTGAGCCACTACGCCCAGCCTAAATCATGATTGTATGGTAGTATTTTTTTTTAGCACAGTTTTACTTTGTTTCAGTTTCTTATCATTCATTTATTTGTTCAGTTGTTCATCCATCAAATATTTATTGAATATTTGGGGTAGGCATCATTCAAGGCACAGCTTAAGAAGACCAGTGACTGTGTCCCTCAGCAAAGCAATCAGAACAACATCATTCAATGAAAACATTATTATGGCCGGGCACCGTGGCTCACGCCTGTAATCCCAGCACTTTGGGAGGCCGAGGCGGGCATATCACGAGGTCAGGAGATCGAGACCATCCTGGCTAACACGGTGAAACCCCGTCTCTACTAAAAATACAAAAAATTAGCCGGGCGTAGTGGCGGGCGCCTGTAGTCCCAGCTACTCAGGAGGCTGAGGCAGGAGAATGGCGTGAACCCGGGAAGCGGAGCTTGCGGTGAGCCGAGATCATGCCACTGCACTCCAGCCTGGGCTACAGAGTGAGACTCCATCTTAAAAAAAAAAAAAAAAAGAAAAATTATTATTTTTTCTTTTTTAAAATTTTATTTTTAAAAAAATTTTTTGTTTGAAATATTTTTATAAAGGCAACTTTAAAATCAAGGAGAGCTACAGTTCTCTCATAAGTATCTTACTGATAATTACAATAAACACTCAGCATTCTAGTCAGTCATAGAAATGTTTAATCCCACATTCTGGTTTTGGTTAAGCCATTAATTCACTAGAAGTGGTTGGGTCACAGACTCATTCCCCACCAATTGGATAAAAGGCACTTTTTCAAATGACAGCTCTATAATCATCTTTTAGACTTCTGTTACTCATATGATTCTGAATTTCCTTACTTTTTTTCACAGCCAGAGATAATGTTTAATTTTTTTTCTGGCCGGGCGCAGTGGCTCACGCCTGTAATCCCAGCACTTTGGGAGGCCGAGGCGGGTGGATCACGAGGTCAGGAGATCGAGACCACAGTGAAACCCCGTCTCTGCTAAAAATACAAAAAAAAATTAGCCGGGCGCGGTGGCGGGCGCCTGTAGTCCCAGCTACTCCGGAGGCTGAGGCAGGAGAATGGTGTGAACCCAGGAGGCGGAGCTTGCAGTGAGCCGAGATCGCGCCACTGCACTCCAGCCTCGGCGACAGACAGAGCAAGACTCCATCTTAAAAAAAAAAAAAAAAAAAAAAAAAAAAATTTCACATCCAATTGATTTCTTAAAAAAAAAAAAAAAATTATAGAGACAGGGTCTCACCATGTTGCCCAGGTTGGTCTAGTACTCCTAGGCTCAAGTGATCCTCCCGCCTCAGCCCCCAAAGTGCTGGGATTACAGGTGTGAGCCACCATGCCCAGCCCCTGAATTCTCTTATTTTAAAAGGGCCTAATTTTAAAGTTAGGTAACTACCCTTCATTACCTTCATTATAG